>NC_000015.10:89926126-90077641 GCF_000001405.40 Homo sapiens
CCTGTAATCCCAGCTACTAGCTACTTGCAAGGCTGAGGCAGAAGAATTGCTTGAACCCAGGAGGCAGAGGTTGCAGTGAGCCAAGACTGGGCCGCTGCACTCCAGCCTGGGTGACAGGGCAAGACTCTGTCTCAAAAAAAAAAAAAAAAAAGACTGTAATTCTTAATTAAGAACACATTATAGGCTGGGTGCAGTGGTGAATGCCTGAAATCCCAACACTCTGAGAGGTGAAGGTGGGAGGGGAGCCAAGTAGGTCAAGGCTGTAGTGAGCAATGATCGTGCCATTGCACTCCAGCCTGGCCAATAGAGTGAGACCCTGCCTAAAAAAAAATATTAAATTAAAAAAATTTTTAGAACTTAAAGTATAATTTTTAAAAACTTGAAAAAAAATTTTAAAGAGCCCACTGTCATTATTTGCCCCATACATGGTTATTTTTGCAATAGTAATAAATAATAATAATACTTTTTATAATAAACTCTCCACCACCCAACTACAACATTGCCAATAACTATTGCAAATAACTATCGCCAATAACTATCCATGGCTTCTTGCCTTTTCCATCCCCATCCTCCCCCAACTAAAAGTAACCACCATCCTAATTTTGTGTTTATCAGTCCCTTGCTTTTTTTTATTTTTTATTGTTTATTTTTATTTATTTATTTTTTTGAGACAGAGTCTTGCTCTGTCGCCCAGGCTGGAGTGCAGTGGCACAATCTTGGCTCACTGCAAACTCCGCCTCCCGGGTTCACGCCATTCTCCTGCCTCAGCCTCCTGAGTAGCTGGGACTACATGCGCCTGCCACCATACCCGGCTATTTTTTTTTTTTTCTATTTTTAGTAGAGACGGGGTTTCACCATGTTGGCCAGGTTGGCCTCGATCTCCTGACCTCGTGATCTGCCAGCCTCGGCCTCCCAAAGTTCTGGGATTACAGGCGTAAGCCACTGCGCCCGGCCAATTTTTTATTTTTTCAACTGTGGTAAAATATGCATAACAAAATTTACCATCTTTACTATCTTTAAGTGTACATTTATGTGGCATTGAGGCATTCACATTTTTATTTTTTATTTTTTTTTAGACACAGGGTCTCCTTCTGTCACCCAGGCTGGAGTGCAGTGTGGAGTGCAGTGGTGTGACCATAGCTCACTATAATCCCGTACTCCCAGGCTCAAGCAATCCTCCTGCTTCAGCCTCCTGAGTAGCTAGGACAATAGGTGTTTCCCACCAATCCTGGCTAATTTTTTAATTATTTAATTTAATTAATTAATTTATTTATGTTTGAGACAGAGTCTTGCTCTGTTGCCCAGGTTGGAGGGCAGTGGCATGATCTTGGCTCACTGCAACCTCCAACTCCCGGGTTCAAGCGATTCTCCTGACTCAGCCTCCCAAGTAGCTGGGATTACAAGTGCCTGCCACCACTCCCAGCTAATTTTTGTATTTTTAGTAGAGGCAGGGTTTCGCCAAGTTGGCCAGGCTGGTCTCGACTCCTGACCTCAGGTGATCCACCTGCCTCAGTCTCCCAAAGTGCTGGGATTACAGGCATGAGCCACTGAGCCCAGCCAGTTTTTAAAATTTTTGAGACGGTGTCTTGCTCTCATCCAGGCTAGTGTGCAATGGCGTGATCATGGCTCACTGCAGCATCGACTTCCTCAGGCTCAAGCAATCCTCCTGTCTCAGCCTCCTGAGTAGCTGGGACTACAGGCACACGCCACCATGTTCAGCTAATTTTTTCTACTTTTTGTAGAGATGAGGATTCATTATGTTGCCCAGGCTGGTCTGGAACCCCTGGGCTCAAGTGATCCTCCCACCTCAGCCTCCCAGACTGGAGTACAGTGGCACCATCTCAGCTCACTGCAACCTCCACCTCCTGAGTTCAAGAGATTCTCCCACCTCAGTTTCCCAAGTAGCTGAGACTACAGGTGCCTGCCACCATGCCTGGTTAGTTTTTGTGTTTTTAGTAGAGACGGGGTTTCACCATGTCAGCCAGGCTGGTCTTGAACTTCTGACCTCAGGTGATCCGCCCACCTCGGCCTCCCAAAGTGCTGGGATTTCAGGTGTGAGCCACCCTGCCCAACCAACATAATTTCATATAGCAAATGTTACAAATGGATTCTGAAGACCCTTACTCTTCCCAGTCAACATAACCTGACTACAACAGGATGTGGATGACTTGGCTGAGGGACAGAATTTGGGAAATGATTACTTCTCCCTGATCCCTGATATTTGGTGCAAGTATGACAGTTCGCAAGGTAATGTTGACAGGATACCTCCCTAACGCTAGCCCTCAAAGCAGAAATACCAGGGTAGAGTTTCTCCAAGATTGTTCCCATTTAGCAAAGGAGCCTGTTTCTTTATGAACATTGAGGATTTGTTCATTTAGATCAATATTTGCAGTGGAAGCTCTAAGAGAAACCCCTGATTCTGACATTCTAATCCTCAGAGATAAGACAAATAAATATTTAAATACCATCGAAATGTGACCAGATGTCCAAGCAGACAGCCTGTCTGTCTGATCAGGCAGAACGATATCCAGTAATTAGAGCAGAGGAGCCGGGAGAAGGTCCCTGAGTCAATGCCCACAGAAATCACACTGGCCACACTGCTCTGTCAAAGGGTTTCCCTTACAGTCAGCCTTAAAATGTTTCCAACTTTGACTACGAAAAGTATTATTTTCTAAAACTCTGTCTTCAGATAGCTTCAGGGATAAAGAACAAAATGTAATACCAGCCGACAGGAGTCTCAGGCACCTCTGAAACCACAGCCACCCACTGACAGACCTGCGCCCAGTATGGAGACCTCTAGTCAAAGGGAAAAGAAGGTTTAATTCGTCCCTGGAAACAGGGAAGTTTTTCAGGTGCTCTGGTCCAGTCAGCCGCATTGGGTGGAGCAGCAGTAGAGATCCACTGAAAGAGGGCACTTGGCTGGGTGCGGTGGCTCACGCCTATAATCCCAACGCTTTGAGAGGCTGAGGTGGGCGGATCATTAAGGTCAGGAATTCCAGACCAGCCTGGCCAACATGGTGAAACACTGTCTCTACTAAAAATACAAAAGTTACCCGTGTGTGGTGGTGTACACCTGTAATCCCAGCTACTTGGGAGGCTGAGGCAGGACAATTGCTTGAACCCAGGAGGCGGAGGTTGCAGTGAGCTGAGATCGTGCCACTGCACTCCAGCCTGGGTGACAGAGTGAGACTCCATCTCAAAAAAAAAAAAAAAAAAAAGAGAGAGCCAAGTCAGTCTGGCATAATGGGAATACCTTAGGGGAAGTTACCATCACTGACTGTGATTACCATGGAGGTTCCTGCTGGGCAGAGAGAGACCTGCCTGGGAGGCCCAGCATCATTATGTCCTAAGCCCTGGCAATTGTCACTCCAGGGGCTCTAATCGTTCTAGAATAGATACACCTAGAAAAATAAGTGCAGCAGGAAAATTCAAGTTCAGATTGATAGGACTCACAAAGGGGAACTTGCCCTGTTGGTTATTAGATTATCTCATAAAACTAAAAAAATGTAAACCATGGCATTACATGTACACATCAGTGGACCAGTATAAAAAGCCAAGAGGCTGCTCTGTCTATGGAGTGGCCATTCTTTTATTCCTTACTTTCCTAATAAACTTGCTTTTACTTAAAAATAAAATAAAAAACCAAGAAATATTTGCAAGTAGAGTATTCATATCTTGGCTGGGCGTGGTGGCTCACACCTGTAATCCCAGCACTTTGGGAGGCCGAGGCGGGTGGATCACCTGAGGTCCGGAGTTTGAGACCAGCCTGACCAACATGGAGAAACCCTATCTCTACTAAAAATACAAAATTAGCCAGGCATGGTGGCACATGCCTGTAATCCCAGCTACTCGGGAGGCTGAGGCAGGAGAATCGCTTGAACCCGGGAGGCAGAGGCTGCGGTGAGCCGAGATTGCACCATTGCACTCCAGCCTGGGCAACAAGAGCGAAACTCCATCTCAAAAAAAAAAAAAAAAAAAAGAGTATATCTTTTTTTAAAAGGATATTACAAAGATGGCATTTCAAATAAACTTTCAGGGTTGTATTTAGTTCTGAATATAATGACAAATTGGGAAATATGAGAAGCTGTTATTGATTAATAAGAGAAAGATCAATGTATCGACACAAAAATGGCTTTGCAGTTACCCACAGGAACTTCGTGGAGTGTCTGAGTCAGGGTAGACCTGCACAGGCACATGGGGTCCCTGAAATCCTTGTGCCCTCTGACCCTGCTACTGTATCCTGTCTGCCAGCATCTTCCTTACACATGATGATTTTCTTTCAGAGCTTCATTCTCTTTCCTGCATGTGCGGGAAGACTCTAGTTCATCAGATAAGTTTGTATATATCAGTCTTCAAGTTTGAATGTGGAGAAATTGAAACCCTTGTGCACTGTTGGTGGGAATGTAAAATGGTACAGCTACTATAGAAAACAGTATGGCAGTTTCTCAAAAATTAAAAATAGAACCACCATATGTCCAGCAATTCTACTTTTGGGTATATATCCAAAAGAACTGAAAGTAGGGGCTCGAAGAGGTATTTGTCTATACACGTTCATAGTGGGCATTATTTGCAATACCCAAAACATAGAAGCAACCCAAGTATCCATTAACAGATGATTGAATAAACAAAAGGTGGTATACACAACAGAATGGAATATCATTCAGCTTTACAAAGGAAATTCTGACACATATTACAACATGGATGAACCTAGAGGACATTATGCAAAGTGATAAAAAAAAAAGCCAGTTGCAAAAGGATAAATACTCTATGATTCCACTTACATAAGGTACTTAGGGTAGTCAAATTTATAGAAACAGAGAGCAGGATAGTGGTTGCCGGGGCAGAGGGAAGAGGAAGGGAGGATGTTGTTTAACAGGCACAGAGTTTCCATTTTGCAAAATGAAATGAGTTCCATGGATGGATGGTGGTGATGGTTGTACAACAATGTGAATAGGCCAGGCATGGTGGCTCACGCCTATAATCCCAACGCTTTGGGAGGCCAAGGCGGCTGGATCACTTGAGGCCAGGAGTTCGAGACCAGCCTGGCCAACATGGTGAAATTCTGTCTCTACTAAAAATACAAAAATTAACCGGGCATGGTGACGTGAGAATATAATCCCAGCTATATTGGGAAGCTGAGGCATGAGAATTGCTTGAACCCGGGAGGCAGAGTTTGCTGTGAGCCGAGATCATGTCACTGCACCCCAGCCTGGGTGACAGAGCAAGACTCCATCTCAAAAAAAAAAAAAAAAAGAAATTACGTTTTAGGCTGGGCGTGGTGGATCATGCTTACAATCCTAACAGTTTGGGAGGCCAAGGCAGGAGGATCATTTGAACCTACGAGTTTGAGACCAGTCTGGGCAACATAGCAAGACCTCATCTCTTTAAGAAAAAAAAAGAGGTTTACAATTTAATACAGCTGACCCTTGAACAATGCGGGGGGTTGGGGCATTGACATCCCCCTTCCCCAGTGCAGTAAAATATCTGCATATAACTCTTCACTCTCCAGATACTTAACTACTTTTTTTCTTTCTTTTTATTGGAACAGCAGAAATTGCTTTACTACTAATAGCCTGCTGTTGACTGGTAGCCTTACCAATGGCATAAACATTTTACTTATTTTATATGTTATATGTATTATATGATGTATTCTTACAATAATGTAAGCTAGAGAAAAGAAAATGTTTTAGGAAAATCATAAGGAAGAGAAAATATATTTACCATTTATTAAGTAAATCATCATAAAGTTCTTCATCCTTGTCATCTTCACATTGATTAGGCCGAGGAGGAGGAAGAGGAGGGTTGGTCTTGCTGTCTCAGGGGTGGCAAAGGTGGAAGAGGTGGAAGGGGAGGCAGGACAGGCAGGCACACTCAGTGCAACTTGCAGAAATACATCAGAATTTCGGTCTGACTTTTTTGCTTCTTTATTTCTCTGAAAAGTGTTCCTATATGGTCCCAATCCTTCTTCCACCATTCGCTTGAGTTTCAGTGCCTGTATCATAGAAGGGTCCATGTCATAAAAGAAGTCAAGGCAGTCTTAACTAATGGAAACCCTTCTGCCAGACTGTCTAATGGCAATTTGTTTTCTGGCATTGCTGCTTCAATGTCATCTTCCTCATCGTCTGGGAGCACTCATCTCCATCAAGATGTCTTGAATCAGCAGCTTATGTTTTTAGCTTTTTCTTGCTCCTAAGTGTTGGTGGTCTTCCAGAGCACTACCCTACCTTCTGAGCTCAAGTTCCTACCCTGCTACTCCTGACTGCAGGCAGAGGCCTCTGCTATCCTGTTTGGTACAAGCAGGGGAGGAAAGCAGGGAGCCAGACGCTTATTCCTACTGTGATGCCTGAATTAACCACCTTCCCGGTGTCCCAGAGCTTCCTTCTGTTCCCTGTACCTACCATCTCCGAGCTCAGAGCCCACAGCCTTGTTTTAACATTCATGTCATCGACATTTTTTTCAGAGTCCAGGCTAGTGGTCTTGTAGAAGGACTCTATCTTTTTGATCCTCAAGGACGGCTTGAGGCCAGAAGTTCAAGATCAGCCTTGGCAGCATAGCTAGACCCTGTCTCTACAAAACATTTAAAAAATTAGCCAGGGCTGGGTGCGGTGGCTCACGCCTGTAATCCCAGCACTATGGGAGGCAGAGGTGGGAGGATCACTTGAGACCAGGAGTTTGAGACCAGCCTGGCCAACATGGTGAAACCCCGTCTGTACTAAAAATACAAAAAATAGCTGGGCATGGTGGTGGGTGTCTGTAGTCCCAGCTACTTGGGAGGCTGAGACATAAGAATCGCTTGAACCCGGGAGTTCAAGGCTACGGTGAGCTGTGATTGTGCCATCACACTCCAGCCTGAGCAACAGAGAGAGACATACATGTCTCTAAAATCTAAAAAAAAAAAAACCAAAAAAATTAAACTAAATTAAATAATTTAGTTTTTTTAAAAAATTAAGTTAATTTAGTTTTTTAAAAAAATTAAATTGAATAATTTAGTTTTTTTAAATTAAATTAAATAAATTCAAAATTTAAAAAACATAATTTTAATAACTGTGTAAAAATCCATTTTATGCATGTGTAGTAACTTGTTAAATCATTCTCCTATCACAACATATTTGTTTCCACACTTTCATTTTTCTAAATGTAGCAGGGTCTTAAAATGCAGCTCAACTATATCTGGGATGTAAAGAAAAAAATGCAGTTCTTTTATTTTTTCTACTTCCCAAGTTCTCTTCTCTGGTTAGTGTGGGGGGAAAAAGTTACCTTGAAAACTTAGTCCTATCCAGTAAGCCTTATACACAGGTCTCAGTCTCTCTAAGAAAAGCAGTCCAGCTTCCGCTCCTGTCCCAAGTGGCAGCCGGGGAGTATTAGGGGCAGGACTGTGGCTGCTGAGATCCCAGGGGCAGGAGTGGGAGGGAGGCCGAGGGGTCTTTGGCTGTGGGTTTGCTCAGGCCTCTTCTGAATCCAGGGTGATCCCCTCTGGCAACTTCACAGCCCACCCTAGTGACATCAGGATCCCATTCACCCCATGGGGGCTGTACAGAAGTTCAGGAAGGCTGAAGCTCAGATCCTTGCTCTGCCTGCTCAAACTGTGCCTTAATTGATGAGACTGTGCCTCGGAGAGTTACAGGGCTTCCTCTAAGGCAGCCTCCTTCAGGGGCTCCAAGCAGAAGAGAGGCAAAGCCCCCCTCACCATGGGTATCGCTGAGTTACTGACTTCTCTAACTCTGGTCGCATTTCTGCCTGAATCCCTCTCCTCCTTTGCTGCCTTTTTTTGTTGTTGTTTTGTTGTTGAGACGGAGTCTTGCTCTGTCACCCAGGCTGGAGTACAGTGGTGCAATCTCAGCTCACTGCAACCTCTGCCTCTTGGGTTCAAGCTATTCTCATGCCTCAGCCTCCCAAGTAGCTGGGATTACAGACATGCACCACCACGCCCAGCTAATTTTTGTATTTTTAGTAGAGACGAGATTTCACCATGTTGGCCAGGCTGGTCTCGAACTCCTGACCTCAAGTGATCCGCCCACCTTGGGCTCCCAAAGTGCTGGGAGTGAGCCACCGAACCCGGCCCTTCACTGCTTTCTTCTTCCCACTTTCCCCATGGCCTCAAACAGGCAGGCTTCCACCTTGCTCTGCCACACACATCCCTCCAGCGAGGCAGCAAGCCTTGAGGCCCACAATCTAGGCTGAAAGGGCTCTCTTTTCCACTTAGGGGACAACTCTACAGGCTAAGTCCTCTGGTCTTGGTTGTTGAAGTGCTAAAGGATATCTGTGCGTAGGATCAAAAGAAAATAATTTGGAAGATCTCTTAAGACAAACACCTATTTTGCAAGGCTAATGTCTTGCTGCATAATCTATTTTGAATGTCAGAACTAGATATTAATTACTTCTCCTCTCCTCATACTTTCTATAATTTTGCATTTCACCACAACTAGCACCATCAGTTGTAAGATGCACTGTTATTTTAGGTACTCCTAAGAAAGAAAAACAAACTGCCAATTAAATTGTGAACAATGCATTCTTATTTAGAATTTTGGTTTACACTCATTCAAAAAGCTCTTTTTAGACTTATTTAGACATATATTTTTATATATCATCTTGTGCATATGTAAAAAGGAAAATCTCAGTGAAATAGTTGGAAGGTATTTCTATAACTTCTTTACAGAAGAGACTGATGTAGACATTGATTCTTCTGAACCCCTTTTCATATCAAAGTCGATAATGACCGTGTCTTTCTATACAGCATTGCTGCCTGTGCATTGAGAGAGTTGTTGATACGGGATCTCTTCATCCAGTGCTCCACCACTGCCTCTGGGATTGCCTTCCCAACTGTTGACACTCATTCTGCAAGTTTTTTTGTTTTTCATTTTTTGAGAAAGAGTCTTGCTCTGTCACCCAGGCTGGAGTGCAGTGTGTACGATCTCGGCTCACTGCAACCTCTGCCTCCCGGGTTCAAGCGATTCTCCTGACTCAGCCTCCTGAGTAGCTGGGATTACAGGTGCCCGCCACCATACCTGGCTAATTTTTTGTATTTTTAGTAGAGACAGGGTTTCACCATGTTGGCCAGACTGGTCTCGAACTCCTGACCTCAAGTGATCCACCCGCCTCAGCCTCCCAAAGTGCTGGGATTACAGGCGTGAGCCACTGCGCCTGGCCTCATTCTGCAGGTTTTTATGCTGCACCTCCTGTCCCTTTTTCTTCTTTTAATCTTATAGAAGGTGTTAATAGAAGGTTTTCAGATCAAGTTTTCATATATGCAGACAATGACAACCATATCGAAACTACTGCCTGGCCAACAGCTATTGTCAGCAAACATTGATTATAGGGACACGTATCAATTTCAAAGAAATAATGAATTCTAGTAAACCTTAATACTTTTACTTCCCACACCTCTTCTGCCTCTAGGCAGGCTGGATGCTTCAAGCCACACACAGAAGGTTCTGTACTTGGAAAGGCTCTTTGATACTTTGTAAGATATTAATCCTATTACACAAATACTGCTGGAAAGGAAATCTTTGAATATAAAACTTCGACTATAATTCTGCTATTTCTTCAGATAGAGTCCTAGAAGAGAGAATTTAGATATTTAAAAATAAGGCTGACTATTCTTTCTTTCTTTCTTTCTTTCTTTCTTTTTGAGACAGGGCCTGGCTCTGTTGCCCAGACCGGGGTGCAGTGGCGTGATCTCAGCTCACTGCAACCTTCGCCTCCCAGGCTCAAGCAATCCTCCCACCTCAGCCTCCCAAGTACCTGGACTACAGGCACACACCACCACGTCTGCCTAATGTTCGTATTTTTTTGTAGAGATGGGTTTTGCCATGTTGGCCAAGCTAGTCTCGAACTCCTGAGCTCAAGCGATTTATCTGCCTCTGCCTCCCAAACTGCTAGGATTACAGACATGAACCACTGCACCCGGCCTATTCTTTTCATGAATACAAATCACACTTTTTGGATCAGATGTGAAGTAGGCACATAGATACACACAGACACACAGACACACACAGACACACACACACACACACACACACACACACACACAGTGGCAACACTGGAAAACAGAGTGCTCTCAGTAGACCATAAATGATCAGGAACCTCTGAAAGGCAGAAGGAGAATGAAGCTAGACTACAGGAGGAAACCACAGCCTAAACCACATGCAAGAAAAGATTGCTCTACAAGTCAAGAGCATCTTAGGGGCTCTAAGCTTGGAGACGGTAGATACGGGGAAGAGGAGGAAGCTCTGGGGCACCATGAAGGTGGTTAATTCAGGCATCACAGTAGGAACAAGGGTCTGGCTCCCTGCTTTCCTCCCCTGCTTGTACCAAACAGAGGACAGCAGAGGCCTCTGCCTGCAGTCAGGAGTAGCAGGGTGACAGGGACAAGCTGAGATAAATTCAGTCTATCCCCCAGGCCCTGCGGGCCCGGTCAGTCACCCCGATGGCCAAGAAGTTAAGGAACTGCTGCTCTTTGCATGTGAGGTGTGCAATAAGAGGTTTAAGTATTGAGGCAAGCTAGCCATCCACAAGAGATCACACACAGGAAAGAGATTCTTTCAATGTAATCTCTGTGGGAAGCGCTTCAGGCAGGGCATAGGCCTGCAATTTCACCAGCAAACCCACACTGGGGAGAGGCCCTACACGTGTGACGTCTGCCAGAAGCAGTTCACCCAGAAGTCCTACTTGAAGTGCCACAAGAGAAGCCACACAGGGGAGAAGCCCTTCAAATGTAAAGACTGCAAGAAAGTTTTCACCTACAAGACGAATCTGAAGGAGGACCAGCGCATCCACTCCGGAGAGAAATCCTACAAATATGTTCCAAGCGTCCAAGAGCCTTCGGTCGGCCCGCGACCTTAAGACGCCACCAGAAAACACTTCCAGAAACCACTTCGCAGTGACTTCGTCATCAGGTCTATGTCTTCTGCACCAAGAAAGTGTGAATGAAGATTTTTCACCGATGTTATCAGATGACGTTTGACACATAATGGGCGCCTGGCACACAAAGGAGTGCCCTAGATAGGAATTCCCAGGATGTTTGTTTAAATCTTTTTCCTCCCCAGTGAATTTTGGTTTTTGTTTCATTATGTCTATTGTTATAGGTTTATTTTGGCTTGTGTTGCTGTTCTTTCAATAAACATCTTATTAGTTTTCAATATTTTGTAACAACAACAACAAAAAAGGAGTAGCAGGGTGAAAACTTGAGCTCAAAAAGTAAGGCAGTGCTCTGGAAGACCACCAACACGAGAAAAACATAAGCTACTTGCTCAACCCACCCAGCAAAGTATCCCATTCCTCTACCATAATAATTGGATTCAGGATGTAGCAAACAGTCACAGTGTCACACACTGGTCACATTAGTTAGTAATGTTTAGCAAATAATAAGAAATCTGACTAATAATGACTCAAGCAAAAAAGACATTTAATTAAATTACATCACGAGATGTCTAGAGATAGGTGGTTTCAGGTTTAGTGTCTCTAACTCAAGGAAGCTATACAGAAAACAGATTTTCTACCTCTCCACTTCATCATCCTTAGTATACAGCTTCCTTATGGTCATGTGATGGCTGCCGCACTTCAGATATAACATTGAGAGGTGAGGCCAGCTGGACTTCCTGGGTCGAGTGGGGACTTGGAGAACTTTCCTGTCTTACAAGAGGATTGTAAAATGCACCAATCAGCGCTCTGTAGCTAGCTAGAGGTTTGTAAAATGCACCAATCAGTGCTCTGTAAAAATGCACCAATTGGCGCTCTGTAGCTAGCCCAAGGTTTGTAAAATGGACCAATCAGCACTTTGTAAAATGGACCAATCATCAGGACATGGGTGGGGACAAATAAGGGAATAAAAGCTCCCCTCCACACCCCCCCCCACACCCCCCCCCCGCCCGGCCAGCCAGCAGTGGCAACCTGCTTAGGTCCCCTTCCACACTGTGGAAGCTTTGTTCTTTTGCTCTTCACAATAAATCTTGGCTGCTGCTCACTCTTCAGGTCTGTGCTGCCTTTAAGAGCTGTAACACTTACCGCAAAGGTCTGCTGCTGCATTCTTCAAGTCAGCCAGACCACAAACCCACTGGAAGGAACCAACTCCGGACACAACATCATGTCGAAGGAAGAAGGGAAAGATGTGGTGTCACTGAGTTTTCACTCATAAAAGTGTCCCTTTTATGATAAAGTAAAAGTTTTCCCAGAAATTCCTGAGTAGGCTTCCACTTACATCTCATTGGCCAGAACTTTGTCACACATCAGCCCTGCTGCAAGAGAGGCTGGAAAAAAAACGGAATTGGAATTACAACAATTGATTTAGAACAATCATGATTTGTTACCTGAGCTGGCTGAACATGCAATTGCCCAAACTGAATTAACTTTCTGCTCTTTAGGAAGCAAGAAGTGAGCAATACCTATGACTAGCCCATTGTCAAGGTCTTCTGTGAAAGCTAACAAGGATGCTCAAATACAAAAGACAGTCGCACATCCAGGAATCAAAAAATATTTGAGGAAAAACACAACCTTAAAACAGAGATACCAAACTCAGGAAACAGAGAAATCAGGGAGACTTTAGATTAATTATATACACTACAATACAGTATATATAGATAGATGGCTAGGCTACGTGGCTCACACCTGTAATCCCAGTCAAGTAGGAGGATTGCTTGAGCTCAGGAGTTCAAGACCACCCTGAGCAATATATTGAGACCTTGTCTCTACTTAAAAAAAAAAAAAATTGCCGGGTGTGATGTCACGTGCCTGTGGACCCAGCTACTCAGGAGGCTGAGGTGGGAAGATTGCTTGAGCACAGGAGACCACGGCTGCAGTGAGCTATGATCACACCACTGTACTCTAGCCCGGGTGACAGAGTAAGACCCTGTCTCCCCCACAAAAAAACCCATGGAGAGTCCTCAAAAATTTAAAAATAAAGCTACCATATGTGATTTATATATCCCAAAGAAATGAAATCAGTATGTTAAATAGATACCAGCACTCCAATGTTTCCTGTAGCACTATTCATAATAGCCAAGATAGGTCATCAACTTAACTGTCAATGGATGAATAGTTAAAGAAAATGGTGGTATAGGCAGGGCGTGGTGGCTCACACCTGTAATCCCAGCACTTTGGGAGGCCAAGGTGGGCGGATCACCTGAGATTGGGAGATCAAGACCATCCTGGTTAACATGGTGAAACCCCATCTCTACAAAAAATACAAAAAATTGGCTGGACATGGTGGCATGTGCCTGTAGTCCCAGCTTCTCAGGAGGTTGAGGCAGGAGAATCACTTGAACCCAGGAGACGGAGGTTGTAGTGAGCTGAGATCATGCCACTGCCCTCCAACCTGGGCAACAGAACAAGACTCTGTCTCAAAAAAAAAAAAGAAAAAAAAAGAAAAAAAAGAAAATGTTGGTATACATACACAGTGGAATACTATTCAGCCTTTCTTTCTCTCTTTCTCTCTTTCTTTCTTTTCTTTCTTTCTTTTCTTCTTTTCTTTCTTTCTTTCCTTCCTTCCATCTTTCCTTTCTTTCTTTCTTTCTTTCATTTTTTATTCTTTTTTGAGATAGGGTCTCACTCTGTCACCCCAGCTTGAGTGCAGTGGCACAAATACAGCTCACTGCAGCCTTGACCTCCCAGGCTGAAGCAATCCTCCCACCTTAGCCTCCCGGGGAGCTGGGACTACAGGCATGTGCTACCATGCCCAGCTGATTTTTGTATTTTTTTGCAGACACAGGGTTTCACCATGTTGCCCAGGCTGGCCTCAAACTCCTGAGCTCAAGCAATTCGCTCTCCTCGGCCTCCCAAAGTGCTGGGATTACAGGCAGGCACCACTGCACCCGTCAGCCTTTAAAGACAAGGAAATCCTGTCATTTGCAACAACTAATTAAGAAACAATGTTTTTGTAGAGGTGAAGTCTTTCTATGTTGCTATGGATGAACTTGGAGGACATTATGTGAAGTGAAATAAGCCAGACACAGAAAGACAAATACTGAATGATCTCACTTGTATGTGAACTGTAAAAAAGTCAAGCTCATAGAAGCAGAGAATAGAATGGTGTTTGCCAGGGACTGGGGAGATGTTGGTCAGAGGATACAAAATTTCAGTTAGACAGAAAATATAAGTTCAAGAGACCTATTGTACAACCTGGTGACTATAGTCGAAAGCAACGTACTATATACTTGAACATTGCTAAGAGAGTAGATTTTAAGTGTTCTTAGTACAAATAAGTATGTGAAGTAATGCATACATTAATTAGCTTGATATAGCTATTCCACAGTGTTTACATATCTCAAAACATCATGTTGCTCACCATATATGTACAATTTTATTTGTCAATTAAAAAAAGAAAAAAAAAAACAAATGAACTGTACCCAGTGACAGTGTGGTGACATCTCACAATATCAGAGATAAAAGATAAGTCTTGGAGTGGGTTGTGGCGGCATGCGCCTGTAATCCAAGCTATTTGGGAGGCTGAGGCGGGAAGACCACTTGAGGCCAGGAGTTCAAGACCAGCCTGGGCAACATAGTGAAACACCCATCTCTAAAAATACTTTTTTAAAGAAATCCTTCCTTAAGAGAGGAAAAACAGATCAACTAAAAAGGGACAAAAAATTGGATTGGCATCAGCTCTTCTTTTGGTAACACTGGATGCAAGAAGATAATGACAAAGTCTGAGGGGGAAAAAACGTTTATTTTTATTTTTCTTATTATCTTTTTTGAGATGGAGTTTCACTCTTGTTGCCCAGGCTGGAGTGCAATGGTGCAATCACGGCTCACTGCAACCTACACCTCCCGGGTTCAAGCAATTCTTCTGCCTCAGCCTCCCGAGTAGCTGGAATTACAGGCATCTGACACCATGCCCGGCTAATTTTTGTATTTTTAGTAGAGACGGAATTTCACCACATTGGCCAGGCTGGTCTTAAACTCCTGACCTCGGGTGATCTGCCCACCTCGGCCTTACAAGGGGGAAAAACATTATGAGCCCAGAAATCTATCCCCACATATACTATCCACCAAGTGGAGAACAAAACACGTCCATTTCAGACCTTTGAGATCTAAAACTTTTTTTTCTTTTTTTTTTGAGACAGAGTCTCGCTCTCGTTGCCCAGGCTAGAGTGCAGTGGCGTGATCTTGGCTCACCGCAAACTCCGCCTCCCGGGTTCAAGTGATTCTCCTGCCTCAGCCTCGCGAGTAGCTGGGACTTCAGGCGCACACCACCACACCCGGCTAATTTTGTATTTTTAGTAGAGACGGGGTTTCTCCATGTTGGTCAGGCTGGTCTCGAACTCCCAACCTCAGGTGATCCACCCGCCTCGGCCTCCCAAAGTGCTGGGATTACAGGCATGAGCCACCGCGCCCGGCCAAGATCTAAAACATTTTACCAGCCAAGAACCACATATGAAAGAATTATTAGAGGATGTGTTTCAACAAGAAAAATTAGGAATTTGTGGCAGACAGACACTAAGAGGGTCCCCAGTGATCCCCACCTGTTGGTGTTCACTCCCTTGTGTAATGCCCTCTCCATGAGTGTAGGTGGGCCTGTGACTTGCTTCTAGCCGATAGGAGACAGCAAAAGTTCTGGCTTCTATTTTGCTAGAAAATTTTCTCCTTTGCTTACTCAGAGGACCCAGCTGACATGTTGTGAGCTACCCTATGGAGATATCCATATTGCAAAGGCCCAAGGGAAGCCTCCAGCCAACATCCAGCTAGGAACTGAGACCCTGAGGCCAACAGCCCTGAATAAACTAAATTCTGAATCTTTCCCCAGTCAACCCTTTGGAGGAGAGCCCAGCATTGATTGCAGCCTCAAAAGACCCTGAATCAGAGGGCCCAGCTAAGCTATGCTTGCATCCTGGCCCAGGAAAACTGTGAAATAATACATGTTTCTTTTTTGTTGTTGTTGTTGTTTTTTACCTGAGACAGAGTCTTACTCTGTCAACCAGGCTGGAGTGGAGTGGTGCAATCACAGTTCACTGCAACCTCCTCCTCCTGGGCTCAAGCGATCCTCCCACTTCAGCCTCCTGAGTAGCTGGGACTACAGGTGCACACCACCCTGCTCAGCTAATTTTTGTATTTTTTGTAGAGACAGGAATTTTGCCTTGCTGCCCAGGCTGGTCTTGAACTCCTGAGCTCAAACGACCCACTGGGCTCGGCCTCCGAAAGTGCTGGGATTACAGGAAGGAGCCACAGCGCCCAGCCATATTTTGTTTTAAGCCACTAAATATTGATAATTTTTTGTTTTGTTTTGTTTTTGTTTGAGACAGAGTCTGACTCTGTCGCCTAGGCTGGAGTGCAGTGGCGCGATCTCAGCTCACTGCAACCTCCAACTCCCTAGTTCAAGTGATTCTCCTGCCTCAGCCTCCTGAGTAGCTGAGATTACAGGCACGTGCCACCACGCCCAGTTAATTTTTGTACTTTTAATAGAGATGGGGCTTCACCATGTTGGCCAGGATGGTCTCGATCTCCTGACCTTGTGATCCGCCCGCCTCAGCCTCCCAAAGTGCTGGGATGACAGGCATGAGCCACCATCCCTGGCCAAATATTGATAATTTTTAATGCAGCAATTGATAAGACAGAATCCAAGAGGGAGATGTGAGATATAAGGAGTGGTGGGTAAAGAAGCCAGTAAAACTTTTTGATGTCCAAGAAGGTGTGGATTAAAAATAAACAAAACAAAACTCTGCAATGGGAATCTCTGATTATTTCAACATGGGAGGTGGGAAGAGGAGAATAAATGAAAGAGGGAAGAAAGAGAGTAAAAGATTTCTTGTTTTATTTGAAGGTACGATATAGATTCTTATTAAAATCTAGAGGTTGATATATAAATACATTGTAAATATTTATTTATTTATTTATTTATTTATTGAGACCGAATCTTGCTCTGTCACCCAGGCTGGAGTGCAATGGTGCAATCTTGGCTCACTGCAACCTCTGCCTCCCAGGTTCAAGCGATTCTCCTGCCTTAGCCTCCCAAATTGCTGGGACTACAGGCGTAAACCACCACGCCCAGCTAATTTTTGGGTATTCAGTAGAGACGGGGTTTCACCGTGTTGGCCAGGCTGGTCTCAAATTTGTGACCTCAAGTGATCCGCCTGCCTCAGCCTCCCAAAGTGCTGAGATTACAGGCGTGAGCCACCGCACCCAGCCAATTGTAAATATTTACATAAAAATTTCAGGGTAGAGAACTTCCTGAAAAAACAATTAAATTATGGTAAAGTATTGTTTAAGAGACATATACCCATAAAGAAGTGGAGAATGGTGGAGAGGACAATAGTAAGACAATAAATAGATGGACGGCTGGTAAATGATGCAGCATACCCAGGAAGACTGAGTCCTAGAGCAGGAGTTGGAGGCAGATATACTGCAAAGAAAGGATACCATAGAAAAGGAACATTCAGGAATTTTCTGAAGATGAGTTTTTGGAAATTAAAAACATGACGGTAGAAATGAAAAGTTGGAATTGAAGTGGAGGAAATCTCCCAGAAAATAGAGCAAAGAGACAGAGACAAAGAGATGGAAAATAGAAGAGAAAATAGAAAATAAAATCAAGCCTGGCATGGTAGCTCACACCTGTAATCCCAGCACTTCAGGAGGCCAAGGCGGGCAAATCACCTGAGGTCAGGAGTTCAAGACCAGCATGGCCAACATGGTGAAACTCCGTCTCTACTAAAAATACAAAAACTAGCTGGGTGTGGTGGCACATGCCTGTAATCCCAGTTACTCAAGAGGCTGAGGCAGGAGAATCACTTGAACCTGGGAGGTAGAGGTTGCAGTGGGCTGAGATCACCACTGAGATCACACCACTGCACTCCAGCCTGGGCGGCAGAGTGAGACGCCATCTCAAAAAAAAAACAAAAAAAATTAGCCAGGCATAACGGCACACACCTGTAGTCCCAGCTACTTGGAAGGCTGAGGCAGGAGAATCATTTGAACCTGGGAGGCAGAGGCTGCAGTGGGCCGAGATCGTGTCATTGCACTCCAGCCTGGGCAACAGAGCAAGACTTTGCCAAAAAAAAAAAAAAAAAAAAAAAAAATCAATACAGGAGGTCCACTGGTCAAATAATAAGCAGTTAAGAAAGAAGAAACAGAGAAAGTGGAGGTGGGGAAGTTTATTTTCAAAGCAATTTAATTTGATAAAAATTTCCAGAATTTTTACCATGATGCGCAGCACTGCTATGAAGTCTGTGTAGTTAAGAACACATTATCATTGTTCAGCTCATGCTTTATCTCTTTCGTTTTGTTTACTTTGATTTGCTTATGTGTGCATTTATGCATGCATTTATTTATATAATGAACCCTCATTTGAATCCACAGCCCAACTAGCCAATAATATCCATGGGCTTCTTGCCTTTCCCATCTCCCAGCCTCCCCCAACTAAAGATAACCACCATCCTAAATTTGGTGTTTCTTCTTCTTCTTCTTTTTTTTTTTTTTTTTTTTTTTAAGTATTTCATTTTATGAGTCAGGGTCTCACTCTGTCACACACACTGGAATTCAGTGGTGTGATCATAGCTCACTGCAGCCTCCACCTCCTGGGCTTAAGCAATCCTTCCACCTCAGCCTCCAGAGTAGCTGGGACTACAGGTGTGCACCACCACGCACAGCTAATTTAAAAAAATTTTTTTTGGTAGGAAGGAATCTTGCTATATTGCCCAGACTGATCTTGAAATCATGGCCTTAAGTGAGACACAGCATCAGGCCCTTTTGGTTTTTAAAAACAGCTTCATCACATTTATAGGGGCCTGAACAATGAATTGTTTCCTTTCACTTGGTTTAGAATGTTATAAAAAGGGTATCACTCTGTGTGGTCACCTGAGACATGCTTTTTCCACTCATTATGATACCATCCAGATTCATACTTGCTGTTCCCTGGTTCTTTAATTCATTCACTTTCAAAGCTGTATAATATTCCATTGTGCAAATGTACCAAAATGTATTCATTCATTCTCCTACCAGTTTGGGAGAATTGGGAAGGTGCATGTGTGTGTGCGTATGTGTGTGAATGTGTACTGATAGTGAAAGAGTTCAGTCTTCATCCTCTATGGTTGAAAATCAACAGATGATAACTAAAATTGAAAATGATCAAGAAGTAGCAATATATGTGTAATATTTAGAGATAAAGGAGTAAATATGAGAAGAATCATCAAAAGGAATAAGAGGCCTATGCCGGGTGCAGTGGCTCACGCCTGTAATCCCAGCACTTTGGGAGGCCGAGGCGGGCGGATTCCCTGAGCTCAGGAGTTTGAGACCAGCCTGGGCAACATGGTGAAACCCCGTCTCTACTAAAATACAAAAGATTAGCCAGGCGTAGCAGCGCATGCCTGTAATCCCAGCCACTTGGGAGGCTGAGGCAGGAGAATTGCTGGAACCCAGAGGTGGAGGTTGCATTGAGCCGAGATGGCGCCACTGCACTCCAGCCTCGGCGACAAGAGCAAGACTCTGTCTCAAAAAAAAAAAAAGAGGCCGCGCACGGTGGCTTACGCCTATAATCTTAGCCCTTTGGGAGGCCGAGACGGATGGATCACTGAAGGTCAGGAGGTCAAGACCAGCCTGGCCAACATGGCGAAACCCCATCTCTACTAAAAATACAAAAATTAGCCGGGCGTGGTGGCGAGTGCCTGTAATCCCGACTACTCAAGAGGCTGAGGCAGGATAATTGCTTGAACCTGGGAGGCAGACGTTGCAGTGCACTGAGATCGTGCCACTGCGCTCCAACCTGGGTGACAGAGTGAGACTCCGTCTCAAAATAAAAAAAAAAAAAAAGAAAAAAAGGAATAAGAGTGATTTCCTCTGGGGAGAAGGAGATGGTAGAGGGAGGATGGAGATTTCTGTTTCTCATAACAAGACTAATTCGATGATTTGGCTGTTCCACTAAGCTCATGCATAACATTGAAAAATTAAGGATAACTAGCAGAATAACAAAAATAGCATACATAACTTGCAAACCACAACTGCAAAAAAAAAATGGGACAAAGAAAATGTGATAAATTCAGCAGATGATACGAAAAGAAACAAGAAAAATAATCCTTAAAAACAATTATTTTTGGCGGGGCGCGGCTGCACATGCCTGTAATCCCAGCACTTTGTGAGGCTGATGGGGGAGGATCACTTGAGGTCAGGACTTTGAGACCAGCCTGGCCAACATGGTGAAACCCTGCCTCTACTAAAAAACAAAAATTAGCTGGGCGTGGTGGCACGCGCCTATAGTCCCAGCTACTCAGGAGGCTGAGACAGAAGAATTGCTCAGAACCGGGAGGCGGAGGTTGCAGTGAGCCGAGATTGTGTTACTGCACTCCAGCCTGGTGACAGAGCGAGACTCCATCTCAAAAAATAAAATAATAATAAATTAGCTGGGCGTGGTGGCCCATGCCTGTAATCCTAGATACTCTGGAGGCTGAGGCAGGAGGTTTACCTGAGCCTTGGGAGGTTGAGGGCCTAGGCAACAGAGACCCTCTCTCAAAAAAAAGCAAAAACAAAAACAAACAATAACAAAACTGATTGCATTTAAAAAAATAAGAAAAATCCCACCAAGTATATACATGAAAAACGGAAATTTGAGAAATAGCAGATAAAACTGTCATTATAGTGGGAGAACCTTAGAAATCATCAGATCAAGAAGACAAAAAATGAACATTCTGTTGGAAGTTTTTCTCAAGTTCAAGACAACTGTTTCTCCTAACAAACTTCCTGCTTTGGGGGAGGCGTCTTTCTACTTTAACAATTTCCCACTGCCTGTGGCCAAAGGTTGTCACTCAGCAACGCAACAAGTCTTGCAGGGCTACGTAAACTGCTGGATTCAATATTCAAATGCAAACTTTGGGATGTTATAGTTCTAAGGGAAGAAAAGTGTTTTGTCCTTTACCCTCCTAGATTCTCTGGCTGGGACGCTGCAAACTAGACTGACAGAAGACAGATTGACAAGAGAAAAACAAACAAGTTTATTAACTTGTGCACATGATGTGAAAGAAACCTTGGTGATGAGTAACTCACATTGGTGGTTACGACTTGGGCTTATACAGCACCTTAGCAAAAAAAACAATGAATTTCTAGAGAAGTCACATGACAAAGGAGATAGGTTTTAGGCTTCCCTGGGCAGCAAACTGTGGGAAGGTAAATATATGGGGGAAACTAATGGAATAAGGTTTGTGTGTGCAAGTCCATCTCAGCGCCAATTTCCCCTCTTTCTCATGGCCATAAAACTTCCCTGGGAGAGGGAATTTATGGCAGTCTTCTTTTCTCAGAAGTTTCTGCTTTTAGTCAGATAAGGAAAGCTCCAGGAAGGCTTCTTTCTGCATCTGTTGATTCTCATTTACCTCCGGCTCAAAATAATCCTTATGCCAAAGTGGCACATTTTGTGGTGGCATATTTTGCAAGTGTCTCCTACTGACACACAGCACTTCCTGCTCTCTATCCAAACCTGTTCTCTAACCTAAGGCTCCTGAGCACTAGCAATGTTGGTACAATAAAAACCGCCCTTTATCTTCCCCTTTCCAGTAACTTGTGAATAATGCATGAAGCTTGTGGGCAGAGACACATAGACAGCTGATTTATGCTCTTAGATATATAAACACGAAAGGTGAATGCCAGCTGTCAGGAAAAACTTATTCAGAACTTCCAACCCAAAATAAATGAGGATTTGAATAGTACAATAAGAATCAGCTAAATCTATTTTTTTTGTTGTTGTTCATTCAATAAGTATTCACTGAACACCTACTATAGGCCATGCATTGTGCTAGGTGCTGCGGATAGAGCAGTGAAAAAAAGCAACCATTGTACTGGATATTCTAGCTAATTCATTAATATTTTTTAAGTATAAATACTAGAAAAGATGAGATAAAGCTGTCATTATTTGTATCACTCCAAGAGAAACAACTTTAAAATTTTGTAGGTTGGGCCTGGTGGCTCACCCCTATAATTCCAGCACTTTGGGAGGCCAAGGCAGGTGGATCACTAGAGCCCAGGAGTTCAAGACCAGCCTGGGCGACATGGCGAAACCCCGTCTCTACAAAAACTACCAAAAGTATCCGGGCGTGGTGGCACACACCTGTGGTCTCAGCTACTTGCAAGGCTGAGGTGGGAGGATCACTTGAGTCCGAGAGGTAGAAGCTGCAGTGAGCCATGGTCACGCCACTATACTCCAGCCTGGGTGACAAAGTGAGATTTTGTCTCAAACAAAAGAAAAGAAAACAAAACAAAACCCTGTAATAAGTAAAACTAGTAATGCAGCTAGATACAGGATCGTATGTAGGTTAAGTATCCCTTATTTGAAATGCCTGGGTTCCATAAGTGTTTTGGATTTTGGTGGGGTTTTTTTGGATCCTGGAATATTGGAATTGAGGATGGGACCCAAGGCCAAACATGAAAGTCATTTATGTTTCATATACACTTTATACACGTGGCTTAAAGATCATTTTATAGAATATTTTTATTAATTTTGTGCATGAAACAAAGTTTATATATTGAACCATAAAAAGCAAAGGTGTCACTCTCTCAGCCACCCATCTGGACAATCTGTGGTTGTTTGGCATCACTGCCATTCTTGACTCTGAATTTTTATGTTACCGATAAGCAGTCTTTTCTTATTCACACAAAAGTACTTAACAGTAAAAAAATATATATATGACACACTATTAATACAATGAAAAAAAATAACATGTTCCCGGTAACTAGGCAGCATCGTAGCATCACCAGAATCTGTATCAGCTGTGAAACAACAGCAACTAACGACAGCATTCAGTCTCCACCTACGATGCTGTGTTTTGATTAAAAGGTTATTGTACTTCGCATTTTATTTTTTAGATGAGAAGAAACATCAGAAGCAGTTAAGGGACCAGGAAGTGGGTCCTCTGGGGATAAGGAGGCACTCTGTTGGATGGCTTTTTTTGAATGTTTTCTCTGGAGTCATCTGCCTCATTAACAACGGTTCTTTGTCTTAGAACTCTCTCTTTGATTTTACAAACTCACACGATTTTTTGTTCGGTTATGAATGTACACTGCTCTAGTCGTCCAATAAGCCCATCACATATTTTCACCATGTTGTCTATAGTCATTTTTTTTTTTTTGAGATGGAGTTTTGCTCTTGTTGCCCAGGCTGGAATGGAATGGCACGATTTCACCTCACTGCAACCTCCACCTCCCAGCTTCAAGCGATTTTCCTGCCTCAGCCTACCCAATAGCTGGGATTACAGGCACCCGCCACCATGCCTGGCTAATTTTTTGTGTTTTTAGAAGAGACAGGAGTTCACCATGTTGGCCAGGCTGGTCTCGAACTCCTGACCTCAGGTGATCCACCCCTCTTGGCCTCCCAAAGTGCTGGGATTACAGGCGTGAGCCACCATGCCTAGCCAGCATCATCTTTCTCATCACTACCATCACAATCACCTTGATTCAGAACCACTTCAGCTATTTCACCATTGGTCAATGAATGAACAACGGGAGGTTCATTAGCAGTGTTAAAAATTTCCTTGATATCCACTCCTTGTAGGTTACTGACAGACTCTGAAGATATATTTTTGGCGTATGTAAGAAGGTCAAACATTATTTTTGTTCTCACTTGACATAAAAAAAAATCCTTCAAAGTCACCACTTTGTTCATCATGATCACTGAACGTAGTCCCAGGCCAGAGGTTTTGCCAGGCATGCACAGCTGTGTCTTTGGTCACTGTTTCAAGCGCTGGCAATAGCATATATGGCATCCTTCCTGCTAAACGCCTTTTGAAAACTTTCCTTCCCCATGCCTCTGTTCACTGCTGCTAGCATATTGTTCAAGAAAGTGTTTTCATAATTACTCTTCATTGATCTAAGGATATCCTGGTCACGTGGCTGAATTGATGAAATCACATTTGGGGGAAAGTACATGGCATAAACACTATTTGTGTGTGTGTGTGAGTGTGTCTTTTTAGTAGAGATGGGTTTCACCATGTTGGCCAGGCTGGTCTCGGACTCCTGACCTCAGGTGATCCACCCACTTCGGCCTCTCAAAGTGCTGGGATTACAAAAAAATACAAAAAATATTTTTTTCGTGTGAGCCACCACGGCCGGCTGATAAATACTATTTTTGATGAGAACTTCAGCGGGAGGATGAGCAGAACAGCTGTCAGGTATCTGGGATTACAGGCACCCGCCAGCACACCCAGCTAATTTTTTATTTTTAGTAGAGACGGGGTTTCACTATGTTGGCCAGGATGGTCTCAAACTCCTGACCTCAGGTGATCCATCTGCCTCGGCCTCCCAAAGTGCTGGGATTACAGGTGTGAGCCACTGTGCCTGGCCTATCCTCTTTTTCTTCTTACTGTTACCCACAGGGAGATCTGCAAGTCTTTTTGATACTTCTTTTTTTTTTTTTTTTTTTTTGAGATGGAGTCTCACTCTGTCGCCCAGGCTGGAGTGCAGTGGCGCGATTTCGGCTCACTGCAACCTCCATCCCCTAGGTTCAAGCAATTCTCCCTAGTAGCTGGGATTACAGGCACCTGCCACCACGCCCAGCTAATTTTTTTTTTTTTGAGACGGAGTCTCGCTCTGTTGCCCAGGCTGGAGTGCAGTGGCGCGATCTCGGCTCACTGCAAGCTCCGCCTCCCAGGTTCATGCCATTCTCCTCCCTCAGCCTCCCGAGTAGCTGGGACTACAAGCGCCCGCCACTACGCCCAGCTAATTTTTTTGTATTTTTAGTAGAGATGGGGTTTCACCATGTTAGCCAGGATGGTCTCGATCTCCTGACCTCGTGATCCGCCTGTCTCGGCCTCCCAAAGTGCTGGGATTACAGGCGTGAGCCGCCGCTCCCAGCCTAATTTTTGTATTTTTAATAGGGACAGGGTTTCACCATCTTGGCTAGGCTGGTCTTGAACTCCTGACCTTGTGATCTGCCCGCCTCAGCCTCCCAAAGTGCTGGGATTACAGGCGTGAGCCACCGCGCCCAGCCGGTTTGTTCCTCTTTTACTTTGTCTAGTGTATTCTTAGCCTTCAAGGCCCATGCCAACTGTTGCTCCATTAATTCATTTTAACATATTTATGAGCGCTTCACTGTCCCTTCTCCTAGGTGCTGGAAATACAGCAAGGAATTAGACCAGTTCCCTGCTCTCTGGTATGGGGCGACCATACTGCCACCACACCTAGCTAATTTTTGTATTTTTAGTAGAGATGGGTTTCACTGCATTTGTCAGGCTGGTCTCGAACTTCTGACCTCAGATGATCCACCTGCCTTGGCCTCCCAAAGTGCTGGGATTACAGGCATAAGCCACCGTGCCCAGGCCACTATTCATTTTTAACACGACTCGAGCATCCCTAATCTGAAAATAGGAAATCTAAAATGCTCCAAAATTTGAAACTTTTTAAGGACCAACATGACACTACAAGTGGAAAATTCCACACCTGCCCTCCTGTGTGTCACAATCAAAAACGCAGGCACACAACATAGTGTTTATTCAGTGTCCCCATGGAAAAAAATGTCCTCCCAGCCCCCTTCAGCTGTGATATATCTTTTCCCTACATGTCCAGATTCCCCCACCCAAGCACAGCCACAAAGGACATAAATGGCAAGTGCACAGGCCAGATGCATTAACAGCAGTTTCCCTGCAATGCCTGACATGGGGCCAGGACCTATGCACATTGCTCATTGTGTTTTTTTGCTTCTTCTCTGCTCTGTGGTATAAATATTTTGTTGAAATATCAAAAAGAGTCTGGGCACGGTGGCTCACGCCTGTAATCCCAGCACTTTGGGAGGCCAAGGCCAGAGAACTGCCTGAGCCCAGGAGTTCAAGACCAGCCTGGGCAACATGGCAAGACCCCCGTCTCTATTAAAAGAAAAAACGAATAGTTTTCTGTATACCACCAGCAGCCCCAATAAAATGTAGTAGAAAGAAAAGATACCACTGGGTGAGGTGGCTCACGCCTGTAATCCCAGCACTTTGGGAGGCCGAGGCGGGACGATCACTTGAGGTCAGGAGTTTGAGACCAGCCTGGCTAACATGGTGAAACCCCCGTCTCTACTAAAAATACCAAAATTAGGCCAGGCGCAGTGGCTCATGCCTGTAATCCCAACACTTTGGGAGGCTGAGGCAGGCGGATCACCTGACGTCAGGAGTTCAAGACCAGCCTGACCAATATGGTGAAACCCTGTCTCTACTAAAAATACAAAAATTAGCCGGCCTGTGGTGGCGCACGCCTATACTACCAGCTACTCAGGAAGCTTAGGCAGGAGAATCACTTGAACCCAGGAGGCAGAGGTTGCAGTGAGCCGAGATCGTGCCATTGCACTCCAGCCCGGGCCACAGAGGAAGACCTTGTCTCAAATAAATAAATAAAACAAAAATTAGCCAGGCATGGTGGCATATGCCTGCCATCCCAACTACTCAGGTGGCTGAGGCAGGAAAATCGCTTGAACCCAAGAAGTGGAGGTTGCAGTGAGCCAAGATCATGCCACTGCACTCTAGCCTGGGAGTCAGAGTGAGACTGCATCTCAAAAAAAAAAAAAAAAAAAAAAGAAAAGATACCAAAACTAATAAAGTGAGTTTGTCAGTATCATTGGATACAAGATCAACATACAAAAATTACTTACTAATTGGAAATAATGAATTGAAAACTATAGTGGAAGAAACTTAACACCCAATCATATCTAACATTATAACAGCCTTCCCCTTTCAGAAAAATTCAGTGCTGACACTTGGACCGGCAGAGCAGGGAGCTCGTGGAGGGGCAGCTTGGCTTGGGGCATCAGAGTCCGAGTGGGCCGAGAGTCCACAAGAGTGAGGCAGTGTATATGGAAAGTGAGAGCATGAGCAGGGTGAGGAGATGTACCCACTGGGGACAGCTTGGTGGGGGGCATTGGAGTCTAAACAGGGTGAGGGGACTGCCAAGTACAACCTGGCATGAGGTGAGGGGAGAGGAGAGTTTCGTGTGGGGAAGGTGATACTTCTGCTGGGAGACAGGAAGCCATCCACATGGGGGCGGGGAGGGAGGCGGCAGCAGTCAGAGGCTGGTTACATGTAAGGCAATTGATCAAATCATGTAATATGTCAAAGACAACAGAGTAGAGTTTCTCATTGTCAGAGAAGGCAGTTACAAATATGGAAAGGGGAAAGCTACAGTGTACATTGTGGGGTTGGATTGGAACTGGCGGTGTTATGTGAATCATGGTTTTCAATACAGACATAAAAATGAATATAGATATGCATATATAGATATACACTTTATTCCCTAGCTTTGCCCACTGAGAGGCCCTGGGAGAAGCAGGCCCTTAAAGCTATGTACATGTGTCATTTTCAGATATGGAAGGCAGGCAAAGAACCACTACCAGAGAGCTATAAGCCTAACTATCCCAAGGTTCATGAGAGTTCAGGGATGTTTGAGTTCTAGCCATCCAGAGTAGACAGATCTCTTTAAACACCCTGGCATTCTTTGAAAAGTCATTTAAAAACACACATTACCAAAGGGATTGAGAGGAAATAGGCAATCTGAATATTGGTGTATCTGTTAAAGAAATTGAATTTGTAATTTAAAAACAAAAAACAGGCCGGATGCAGTGGCTCACACCTGTAATCCCAGCACTTTGGGAGGCTGAGGTGGGAGGATCGCTTGAGCTCAAGAGTTCGAGACCAGCCTGGGCAACAAGGTGAAACCCAATCTCTACAAAAATTAGCCGGGCATCGTGGTGTGCCCCTGTAGTCCCAGCTACCCGGGAGGTTGAGGTGAAAGGATGCCTTGAGCCCAGGAGGCAGAGGTTATAGTGAGCAGAGTTTGTACCACTGCACTCCTGCCTAGGCAATAGAGCCAGACCTGGTCTCAAAAAAAAAAAAAAGAAAAAAGAAAAACCCAAAACCAAAAACAATTTATCAAACACACACACACACTCACACACACACACAAGCAAGCATGCACACACACACACATAGAGACTATTCTTAGAGGGAAGTTCATAGATGTGCAAATATTAGCATTAGAAAAGAAGAAATTTTTAAAATTAACTTTCCACCTTAAGTAACTAGAAAAAGAAGGGCAAATTCAACTCAAAGAAAGTAGAGGGGAGGAAAAAAGATAAGAGAGGAAATCAATAAAATAAGAAACAAACAAACATTAGAGAAAAATCAATGATGCCAAAAGCTGGTTCTCTGAAAAGATCAATAAAATTGATAAACCTCTAGATAGACTGATCAAGAAAAAAGAAAGACACAAATTACCGATACATGTTGATTTAAGTTTGTTTTACTCTTATGTTAAACATTCACATAATTCTAGAGTTAAATGTACAAAACAAGGTATACTCCAGGAAGTATACTTTCTACCCCATCCATTCCATCCTGTCTCCTTCGTCTCCTATAGGTAATCATTTTATTTATTATTTGTGGTTTCCAAATTCTTCCATTTTTTAGCATAAGAAAAAAATGTATAGTGAATATATTTGCAGTGTTGTTTTAAGGAAAATTGTGTCCTCAGGGTTCTCACAGACTGGTTGAAGATTCTTGTGAATATAGTGATTATATTCAAATATAATCAATATATTCAAACAAAACGTTTTAGTGTGCTCAAAACCACATGCAAGAGTATGCTCAATAGATCAATTAAACTGGTTATATTTAATAAATATCTGCAGAGAATATCTAAGGGGTTCTGACCCTGCCGAAGGAGGATTCCATCTTTTTGCTGACTGAACTAAAAAGCATCTGACCATCCAAATTAGGCTCTTGTGAAAGATGTGTTCTGTTTATTTATCAAAATCCTACTTTGTATTCCAAAGGTCCTGCTGATGCAGATCCCCTTTATAATGTGGCCAGTGAAGTTTGTGGCCCTGATACCATCAAAGGACAAATGCATCCCGACTGGGGGATGGAAATCTTTCAAAAGTCTTTTGTTGACAGCATCTAATTGTGTTATCCTTTTGCTTTCATAAAGTCCTTTTATAAAGCCTTAACTAAAACTCTTGATTAAAACTATAGTTACTTGTTTGTTTTATCCTGAAATAAAACATAATATCATCCCTGATAATACAACCGGTGAGTTCATAATGAAATGTAATATTATAGCTGTCCTGGGTAGCCTTCTAATGCATATCTCTACTTGGTGCTAGGTGTTTGTAATAATTCCTGATTCTACTGCGGAAACACTTGTGTAGCTTGATCCAAGTGCTTGAATTTATTTTCATTTTGAAGGTGATAGAGTTCCAATAACCTACAATTTATACTTGGAAGAGGTTTTTGGCTACTAGTCCTTACTTGGCAGACAAGTTTAGTTGCAAACGTGAAAAAAAATCTCCTTTATCTATCTCCTTTATGACATGGTGGAAAACATGGGCTATACTGTACAAGAATCATGGATGAGTTTGGATCACCCCGTCTCTGGTTCAATGCTGGTTAAATGTGCAAGATTCAAACATAAGAATTCTTGTTAGGCTGTGTATTAGTCTGTTTTCACACTGCCGATAAAGACATACCTGGGATTGGGCCATTTATAAAAGAAAGGTTCAACGGACTTGCAATTCCATGTGGCTGGGGAAGTCTCACAGTTATGGCAGAAGGCAAGGAAGAGCAAGTCACATCTTACATGGATGGCAGCAGGCAAAGAGAGAGTTTGTGCAGGGAAACTCCCATTTTTAAAACCATCAGATCTCATGAGACCTACTCACTATCACGAGAACGACACGGGAAAGACCTGCCCCCGTGATTCAATCACCTCCCACCAGATTCCTCCCACAATACATAGGAATTGTGGGAGTTCCAATTCAAGATGTGATGTGGGTGGGGACACAGCCAAACCATATCAGCCTGGGTGCAGTGGCTCATGCCTGTAATCCCAGCTACTCGGGAGGCAGAGGCAGCAGAATCGCTTGAACCCGGGAGGCGGAGGTTGTAGTGAGCTGAGATTGCGCCACTGCACTGGGACTACAGGCGTGTGCCACCACTTCCGGTTAATTTTATTATTTTTAGTAGAGACAGGGTTTCACCATGTTGGCCAGGATAGTCTCGATCTCTTGACCTTGTGATCCACCTGCCTCGGCCTCCCAAAGTGCTGGGATTACAGGTGGGAGCCACCGCGCCCAGACCAGAACAGACTATTTTTCAATAAACTCACTGCACATGTGTGAATGCTGGGTTGCAAGAACGGTATTGAGGCTACCAAGTAGAAATCCACACAGCCACCTTGGATTTTGTTTATTAGGCATCAGGCTAACAAGTCATTAGGTCATTTGGGAAGGGGAAAAAAAAGTTTAAAATTGGGGGGGGGGCATCTTTTTAAACAAGAAGTATTTTGCCTATGCATGAAAAATAAGATAAAACCACAATGAGACATCATCAGAATGGCTAAAATTAAAATTCTTGACAATATCAAGAATTAACAACCAGAATTCTCTTACACAGGTGGTAGAAGGATGCAATCATTTTAGAAAACTATTTTTGGTATCTATGAAAACTGAACATAGGCAAACCTTATAACCTGGCTATTCCACTCCCAGGTACACAACCAATAGAAGGATTTACATATATACACCAAGAGATATAGACAAAGCCAGGTGTGGTGGCTCACACCTGTAATCCTAGCACTTTGGGAGGCCAAGGTGGGAGAATTGCTTAAGCCCAGGAGTTCAAGACCAGCCTGGGCAACATGGTGAGACCCCCCATCTCTACAAAAAATATATATAAATTAGCCAGGTGTGGTGGCACACACCTGTAGTCCTAGCTACTTGAGAGGCTGAGGTGGGAGGATCACTTGAGCCTGGGAGGTCGAGGCTGCAGTGAGCCACAAGCATGCTACTGCACTCCAGCCTCGATGACAGAGTGAGACCCTGTCTCAAAAAAAAAAAAAAAGAAAAGAAAAGAAAAAGAGAGAGAGAGAGCACAGAGCACAGAGGATGGGCTTCCAGGATGCTGACAATGTTGTACTTCTCGACTTGAGTAGTGGTTACATGGGTGTTCGCTTTGTGATAAATCATTGAGCTAAATGTGTTTATTTCGTGTACTTTTCTGTATGCATGTTATATCTTACAATTAAGAAGTTTTAAAAAGAAGACTATTTACTGGCAAGGAAGCATATTCCTGAAGTATTATGAAATGAAAAAAGTTTACAAAACCATTTATATGGTGTGATCTCAATTTTACTCTATGAATGTACATATTTATACACATTTATATAAATTAAATGATCTGGAGTGATAAACATCCAGGTAAAATGGTAGTAATCCCTGGGTGCAAGCACAAGTGTTTTTGTTTGTTTGTTTTTTAGTGTCTATATATTTCTGATCTTTCTGTAATAAGCCTTTATTGCTTTTCTAATAAGAAATAAAGTCATTTTGTAGTATCGACCCAGGAATAAGCCAACAGATCGATAGAACAGAATAGAAAACTGAGAAAGAGATTCAGTAGATGTAAGAATTTGATGTGTGATAAAGGGGGGATTTTGAATCAATGGAGAAAAGATGGGTAGTTCGATACATTTTGTTAGTTCAATTGGCTAACCATTTGGAAGAGAAAGTTGAGCTCCATCTCATACCAGATGCTAAGAAAAGCCCCTACATTCCTTAAAAGCAAACAAAAAACTTGTATGTATTTTAAGTAAAAACATGAAAGTTTTAAAAGAAAATATAAGCAAATAGTTCCATAATCTTGGAGTGGAGAAGGCCTTTCTAAGCCTAGTAACAAAGTTGGCAGGCACAAAGTAACAGATTTGACAATATAAAAATATAAATATATGTGCATGCAAAAAGTTTACAATAATAACTGTTGTGAAATACCTAGGATAAATTTAACAAAAACCGTGGCCTGCCTATATGACAAAAACGATACAACTTTACTGAAGGACATAAAAGAAGATAAATAGAGAGAGCTTTGTCGAGGGTAGGAGGGCTGATTCCCAGCAGCTTTGCTAATATTTTTTAAAGGGCAGGGAAGGGAACTTAAATATTCATGAGTAAGTTAACCCTTCCGACTGAGCGACGTGCAGTAATTTGAAGGAACGCATTACTGGTGCACACTCTTCTACCTGTCCGGAGGGCCTCTCTGCCCCTTCCTCCCACATGCTCTAAGCTTGGAGGAGGAGTTGCTAAGTGTTAATTGGGTCCTGTTTGGCAGCGGATGGGGTCACTGTGTTGAACATACCTCATGCCCGATGCTCCCTAGGCTGCCCCGCCCTGTTCGCCCTGTTTGCCCTGTTGGCCCTGTTGTTCCAGCAGCTCCCAGGCTGCCTTGGGGCAAGCCTGGCCTTGCCTCACCTGCCTTCACACTGGGAACTGCTGATCAGCTGCAAGTTCCCTTACCATGGGGCTGGCCAGATTCCCAGGCTTAGCCCAGGCTCGGTGCTCCAATCCAGCTTCTATCCTATCCCGGTGTCCGGAGGGGAGGCCGTGTTAGACATGGCCAGGCCTGCAAGCTCAGACTGCCCACGGCCTCCTGACCCAGAAGAAAAATGAAAATGCATATACTCATTGTCGCAGCGCGACTGCAACAGGCAATACCCAGTCATCACTTTATAGTAAAAGACACTACAAGCCCGGCGTGGTGGCTCACACCTGTAAACTCAGCACTATGGGAGGCCAAGGTGGGAGGACAGCTTGAGGCCAGGAGTTCAAGACCAGCCTGGGCAACATAGCAAGACCCCATTTCTACAAAAAAATACAATAATTAACCAGCCATGGTGGCACATTCCTGTAGTCCCAGCTGCTTGGGAGGTTGAGGTGGGACGATCGCTTGAGCTCCCGTGGTCGAGGCTGTAGTGAGCTGTGATTGCACCTTTGCCCTTCAGCTTAGGCGACAGAGCAAGACCCTGTCTCAAACAACCACAATAACAACAAAAACGCAAAGAACAGATTTTAAACTGCCTAGGTTCAAATCCAGGTTCCATGTTTGCTAGTTAGCTGTGTGATCTTTTTTCTTTTCAACTTTTTTTAATTTTTAATTTTTGAGACAGGACCTCCTTTATGTTGTCCGGGAAGGAGCACGGTAGCTATGCATAGATGCAGTCATAGCACACTACAACCTCAATCTCCTGGCCTCAAGTGATCCTCCCAGCTCAGCCTCTTGAGTAGCTGGGACTACAGAACACAGCTCTGACAAGTCATGTAACTACTCTGTGTTTCCATTTTCTCCTCTGTTAGATACTATTATACTAAAACACTATTATGAAAGTATCTGCCTTCCAGAGCTCTTATGAGTATGTCCTAAAGCATACTTAGAACTGTGCCTGGCACATAACTATGTAAGTTAGTTGTTATCAAAGAGTCTCAGAAAACCCCTTCCCAGGCAGAGTTCCACCCCATGGACTGGCAGGCTGCCCTAGCACTTCTACCGAGAACCAGGAAACTGGAGAAACTGCCTGTGTGTGTGTGTGTGTGTGTGTGTGTGTGTGTGTGACAAGGTCTTGCTCTGTGGCCCAGGCTGCAGGCTGGCATGCAGTAGTGTGGTGCAATCTAGGCTCACTGCAACCTCCGCTGCGCCCCAGACTCAGGTGAGCCTCCTGCCTCAGCCTCCTGAGTAACTGCGACAATAGGCCCTCCACCACCACACCTGGCAAATTTTTCTATTTTTAGTAGAGAAGGGATTTCTCCATGTTGCCCAGACTGGTCTCAAACTCCATCTGCCTGCCTCAGCCTCCCAAAGTGCTGGGATTACAGGCGTGAGCCACCGCATCCGGCCTGAAGAAACCACTTTCTAACACGCCAGTCTCCCGGCCTCCTGTGCACTAAGTGCAGTCAAATGGAACCAAAATGAGATGGAAGTGTCAGGAGGGGGCACATTTTGTGCTGGTTCTCAAATCCAGGCCTCTCTGGTGTGAGGCATTTGCTCAGCTAATAATGAAATGAATTGTGCTTTGATCCTCATCTGACTGCTGATCCACGTACATGGGCTCCTGTGGGAACCTTTCTGGAGATTGGCAAGGGCAGCCTTCCAAGGTTGCCTGGCTCAGGGCAAAAGCCTCAACACAGCAGTGGTCCCTTCAAAACCCCACCTCCACCCCACACAGGGCCAACATGAAAAGAGGCTCATCATATAATAAGAAAAAGAAAAAAACAAGAACAACAACAAAAAACCAGAAAGATGCTCCTCATGTGTTGTTACATGAAAAAGCAAAAGGTAGAACAATGTGTCTAATATAATTAGTGTTTAAAACATACATGAAAATGCATTTTTGGTCTAGAAGGATGTGTGCTACATACAGTCAGCCATCCCTCAGAATCCTCGGGGAATTGATTCAGGACCTCCATGGATACCAAAATCCTCATCCTCAGATATTCAAGTCCCTTATTTGCATATAACCTATGCACAACCTACCGTATACTTTGAATCATCTCTAGATTACTTATATCTCATACAATGTAAATGCTATGTAAATAGTTGTTTTACTGTATTTTTACATTTTAAAAATTATATTATTTTTCTTTTTTTCTGAAGTACATATGTATTGTTACAGTTATATATAATATATATATATAACTATATATATGTTTATATAGGTTTTTTTTTTTGAGACAGGGTCTCATTCTATCACCCAGGCTGGAGTGCAGTGGCACAGTCACAGTTCACCGCAGCCTCAACCTCCCAGACTCAAGTGATCCTCCCACCTCAGCCTCCCAAGTAGATGGGACTACAGGCACACATACCACGCCCGGCTAATTTTTTGTATTTTTTGTGAAGATGGGTTCCCATTACACTGCCCAGGTTGGTCTCAAACTCCTGGTGTCAAGCGATCCGCCGCTTTTGCCTTGAAAAGTGCTCTTATCTGAATACTTTTGACCCACCGTTGGCTGAAGCCATGGATACAGAATCTGTGGATTTGGAAGATAGACTCTAGTTCATAGTGGTTAGTTACTTTGGGGCTGGTTTTCCCAGGGAAAAAAGTATTTCCTCCTTGCTGTACACCCATCAGTATTGTGTGAAGTTTCCATAGAAAGCACATGCAACTTTATTTTTAAAAATAAAGTTTTTGGCCAGGTGCGGTGGCTCACGCCTGTAATCCTCCCCTTGGGAGGCCGAGGGAGATCACGAAGTCAGAAGTTCAAGACCAGCCAAGGCCAACATGGTGAAACATGGTATTTTCAGTCTCTACTAAAAATACCAAAAATTAGCTGGGTGTGGTGGTGTATCCCTGTAATACCAGCTACTTGGGGAGGCTGAGACAGGAGAATCACGTGAGCCTGGGAGGCAGAGGTTGCAGTGAGCTGAGATAGTGCCATTGCACTCCAGCCCTGGAGACAGTGTGAGATTCTGTCTCAAAATAAATAAATAAACAAACAAACAAATAAATAAATAAAGTTTTTTTCCGGCCAGGTGCAGTGGCTTACGCCTGTAATCCCAGCACTTTGGGAGGCTGAGGCGGGCAGATCACTTGAGGTCAGGAGTTCGAGACCAGCCTGGCCAACATGGCGAAACCCTGTCTCTACTACAAATACAAAAATTAGCCAGGTGTGGTGGCACACACTTGTAGTCCCAGCTACATGGGTGGCTGGGGCACAAGATTCACTTGAATCTGGGAGGCAGAGGTTGATGTGAGCAGAGATTGCACCATTGCACTCCAGCCTGGGTGACAGAGCAAGACTCTATTTCAAAAACAAACAAACAAAACGTTTTTTTCTACAAACATCAAATCACAGAAAACTATTTACAACATATATTGCAGACAAGGTGTTAAAGTGATGTCTGTGTTTATGAGTAGAAAAAATAGTTGGCTGGGCACAGTGGCTCACGCCTGTAATCCCAGCTCTTTGGGAGGCTGAGGCAGGTGGATCATGAGGTCAGGAGGTCGAGACCATCCTGGCTAACACAGTGAAACCCCATCTCTACTAAAAATACAAAAAATTAGCCGGGCGTGGTGGCGGGCGCCTATAGTCCCAGCAACTGGGGAGGCTGAGGCAGGAGAATGGCATGAACCCGGGAGGCGGAGCTTGCAGTGAGCTGAGATCGTGCCACTACATTCCAGCCCGGGCGACAGAGAGAGACTCCGTCTCAAGAAAAAAAAAAAAAAAAGAGAGAAAAAGAAAAAAATATTCGAAGACAATGGAATAAAACAACAGTGGTTGTTATCCCCATATTTTAATTTTGTTTTTTATCCTTTCCTGTATTTTTCAAACATTAGAAATAAAAATAGATTACACTTTTCTAGTCAGAAAAAATAACTTTTTTTTTTTTTTTTTTGAGACAGGATCTCACTCTGTCATCCAGGCTAGGGTGCAGTGGCAAGATCGTGGTTCACTGCAGCCTCACCCTCCTGGGCTCAAGTGACCCTCCTGCCTCAGCCTCCTGAGTAACTGAGACTACAGGCGCATGCCACCATGTCCAATTAATTGATATTTTGTGGAGACGGGATCTACCTATGTTGCCCAGGCTGGTTTCCAATTCCTGGGCTTGAGTAATCCTTCCACCTCAGCCTCCCAAAGATTATAGGCGTGAGCCACTGCACCTGGCCAATTTTTTTAATTAAAGGAAAATATAACAATAAAAACAGATAATTAAGGATACGTGAAAGGAAACCAGAAAGCTTGAAAGGTTTGAAAGGATAAACGAGAAAATGAAACCATTTAGTAAGGAAAAATAATTCGGAACAATACAAATCAGAACGGTAAGATATACTAAAATAGGCCAGGTGTGGTGGCTCGTGCCTGTAATCCCAGCACTTTGGGAGGCTGAGGCGGACAGGTCATCTGAGGTCGGGAGTTCAAGACCAGCCTGACCAACATGGAGAAACCCCGTCTCTACTGAAAATACAAAATTAGCCAGGCATGGTGGCACATGCCTGTAATCCCAGCTACTCGGAAGGATGAGGCAGGAGAATAGCTTGCACTCGGGAGGCAGAGGTTGCGGTGAGCCGAGATTGTGCCATTGCACTCCAGCCTGGGCAACAAGAGCGAAACTCCATCTCAAAAAAAAAAAAAAAAGAGAGATACTAAAATAATCTAAAAGAATCAGCTAAGATATTAAGAGTAATAGTCAGGCACGGTGGCTCATGCCTGTAATCCCAGCATGTTGGGAAGGCCAAGGCGGGAGGATTGCTTGAGCCCAGGAGAGTTTGAGACCAGCATGGGCAATATGGAAAAACCCTGTCTCTACAAAAAATACAAGAATTAGCCAGGCATGGTGGCATGTGCCTGTAGTCCCAGCTACTCAGGAGGCTGACATGGAAGGATCACTTGAGCCCAGGAGGTCAAGGCTGCAATGAGCTATGATCCCGTGCCACTGCACTCCAGCCTGGGCAACAGAGTGAGACCCTGTCTCAATAATAAAGAAAAAAAAAAGAAACCACTAGAAAGCATTCAAGTGGGGAGCCTTACCCAGGCCTTGCAGACAGGAGGCCCCGGCTAAGGCCCAGAGCATTCTCTTCATCACGGGGCCCTTCACGGGGTTCCCTGAGAGGGAGATCACAGCTCTTTGGCAACTTTGTGGCCACCCAGCAGTCAAGGCTTCACCTTCTGAGTTCTTCCACCCTATTTCAGTCACATGGGCATTTGCCTAACACCCTGAGGACCGCAAACTCTTCAAGGGCCAGTGCTGGGCTGCCACATGCTCATGTTCCTGCTTTATCTATAACTTCCCCATTGCTTGCCTCTGACCACCTTGAGCCCTTCCAGGCTCCACATCTGGGCATCTTCAAATCAGGCCTGCAGTCCAGGCCCCTGTGCAGACTGAGCAAGTCACCTCACCCATGTGAGCCTCAGCTGCCACCCCACTTTAGGGAGGTTAGTTACGCAGATCAATCAGATGATGTTTGCCAAGTGCTGGGCACACAGTAGGGCAGTTAACAGATGTCTAGGGAGGAGGTGACTATGACTGGCATTCCATCCTGCAAGTATGGCATGTAAAATGTAGCACAGAAATTCAGGATTCTACCCTGCCCAGGTTCCATGTGCCCACTGCTCTGCCCTCCCACAGTGACAGACCTCTCATAGCAGCAACTGCCCTTGGCCTACAGATCAAAGAATGCCATGGACTGCCGCATGCTAACCCCAGGACAGCCAAGGAGACTTCTTGGGCAGGAGAGAATGGGATTCTGCAAACACAGAGGGTACCCTGAGACTGGCAGTGAGCCCTCAGCAGTCCCCCTCCCTACGCACACCCTAGACCCCAGAATATAGGTCCCTGGCTGAGCCTTCGGCGGGCTCTGTTGGGGCCCTGAGTTGTCCGTGGGACACGCACTGGTGGTTATCAGTTAATATTAGGGCAATGCTCCTCCCTAAATTACAAATGAGCCCTCAAACTTATAGCTGTGTTCAGCCCAGGAATGGCATTGCTGGTAAGATCAACAAAGTTTGTCTGGGAGTGAGAGTACTGTTTCTCAAACTGTAATATGTACATGATCATGGAGGATCTTGTAAAAATGCAGATTCTAATTTAGTAGGTCTGAGTGAAGCCTGAGATTCACATTTATAAGAAGCTCCTGACTGATCCTGCTGCTGCTGCTGCCCCAGGAATCACACTTTGACTGGCAAGCTGCTAGACAATGCCCCCATACCTATGAAATCACTGGACTGGAAGGGACTCCAGAGACCACATTTCCTGCTTCCCATTGAGGACAGTAATTCTTCCTGCAGCATTTCTGATGGTGGGACAGGGCCTGGCATGCACCAGGTGCTAAGTAGATGTTAGCTGGCCTGAAATAAAATTATTTCCAGGAACAGGAAGCTCTTCTGGTACAGGCAGCTCTCTCATGGTTAGAAAGCTCCTTCTGTTGAGCCAACACAGGCTCTCTTAAAGTGCCACCCACTGGCCTTGGCACACCCCACACCGCTCCATCCACCGGGCACTGTGGCAAAGTGCCAAGGTCTAACAAAATGTTTGCAACCTAAAAAACAACCAACAAGAAGACAGAAAAGATTGACTCCGAAAAATAAAAATGGCACAATCACAATAAATGTTAACTGTCTGCAAAATGTAACACTTGCCAAATAGGCAATGGCAATGTGACTGTTATGTTGTTAGATATAGATTCTATTTAATTGTGGGTACAGATGCATTTTAACATGCTTCGTGTGACCTGGGGTGGGGCCTCCAAAAGTAAATGTGTCTGTGGACCTCAAAGATCTTAAATGTCCCTGTACCATCTTCCTCAGACTCTTAGAAGTCAGCAGTTGTGACCCCCCCAAGTCATGCCTCTCCCTGAGATAAACCAATTCCACAGGTCTCCGGGCTTGACCCACAGTAAAACACACCTCACAAAGAATTCAGAATGCTTCCAGTTTCTTTTCCCATCAAAAATAACACGGGAGGGCTGGGCACAGTGGCTCACACCTGAAATCCCAACAGTTTGGGAGGCCAAGGCATGTGGATCAGTTGAGCCCAGGAGTTCACGACCACTATGGACAATATAGGGAGACTCTGTCTCTAAAAAAAACAAATGACAGAGGAAGCTGGGGGCAGTGATTCATACCTGTAATACCAGCAATTTGGGAGGCTGAGGCAGGAGGATTGCTTGAGTCCAGGAGTTCAAGACCAGCCTGCGCAACATAGCAAGATCCCATCTCTATTTTCTATACACACACACACACACACACAGTTTTCCAAACCCATCCCAGACCTAACTGTATCAAAAACTCTAGGAAGGACACCAGATATATGTATTTTGTTTAAAGGGCTCAAGAATAGACCTAAGAAACAGGTAACACTAGACGCTTCTAAGGAGGAGAACTGGTGTCTGAGTCAGCTGGGTGCAGTGGCTCACACCCATAATCCCAGCACTTTGGGAGGCCGAGGTGGGTGAATCATGAAGTCAGGAGTTCGAGACCAGCCTGGCCAACATGGTGAAACCCCATCTCTACTAAAAAATACAAAAATTTAGCTGGGCGTAGTGGCAGGTGCTACTCGGAAGGCTGAGGCAGGAGAATCGCTTGAACCCGGGAGACGGAGGTTGCAGTGAGCCAAGATGGCACCACTGCACTCCAGCCTGGGCAACAGAGTGAGACTCCGTCTCAAAAAAAAAAAAAAAAAAAAAAAGTCTGAGTTATGTCAACCAATTATCTTTGTTTTGTTTTGTTTGTTTGTTTGTTTGTTTTGAGACAGTCTCGCTCTGTTGCTCAGGCTGGAGTGCAGTGGTGTGATCTTGGCCCACTGCAACCTCTGCTTCCCAGGTTCAAGTGATTCTCGTACCTCAGCCTCCTGAGTAGCTAAGATTACAGGCACGCACCACCACACCTGGCTTTTTTTTTTTTTTGAGATGAAGTTTCGCTCTTGTTGCCCGGGCTGGAGTGCAATGGCGTGATCTTGGCTCACGGCAATCTCTGCCTTCCAGGTTCAAGCAATTCTCCTGCCTCAGGCTACCGAATAGCTGGGATTACAGGCATGTGCCACCATGCCTGGCTAATTTTGTATTTTTTAGTAGAGACAGGGTTTCTCCATGTTGGCCAGGCTGGTCCCGAACTCCCAACCTCAGGAGATCCACCTGCCTCAGCCTCCCAAAGTGCTGGGATTACAGGCGTGAGCCATAGCGCCTGGCCTTAATTTTTGTATTTTTAGTAGAGATGGGGTTTCACCATGTTGGCCAGGCTGGTCTCAAACTCCTGACTTCAAGTGATCTGAGGATGACTCAGCCCCTCAAAGTGCTGGGATTATAGCCATGAGCCACCACACCCGGCTGATGTCAATGTATTATCTTTCAATTTATAGCATAATATTTTAAAGGAAAAAAATAGAACAACCAGATGGAAGATCAATAAGGAAATAATTGATCAACACTGTAGAGCGATTCAACTTAACTGATTTGTAGAAAACTTCACCCAACAACAGCAGAATATACATTTTTCCCAGGTGCACATGAAACATTCTCCAGGATATGCCACATGTTAGGCCACAAAACAAGTCTTAATAAATTTTAAAAGATTGAAATCATAGAAAGCATCTGTTCTAATAACAATGGAATGAGGCCAGGCGCGGTGGCTCACACCTGTAATCCCAACACTTTGGGAGGTTGAGGCAGGCAGATCACAAGGTCAGGAGTTTGAGACCAGTCTGGCCAATATGGTGAAACCCCATCTCTACTGAAAATACAAAAAAATTAGCTAGGTGTGGTGGCGCATGCCTGTAATCCCAGCTACGCTGGAGGCTGAGGCAGGAGAATTGCTTGAACCCAGGATGGGGAGGTTGCAGTGAGCCGAGATCAAGCCACTGCACTCCAGCCTGGGTGACAGAAGGAGACTCCACCTCAAAACAATGGAATGAAACTAGAAATCAAAGGCAGAAGAAAAATTGGAAAAATCCATAAATTGGTGGGAATAAAACAACACACTTTTAAATAACCAAAGGGTCAGATAAGAAATCACAAGGGAAATTAGAAAATATCTTGAGACAAATGAAAACAAAACACAACATACCAAAACTTATGGGATAAGGGAAATTTATAGCTGTAAATGCTTACATTAAAAAAGAAGAGGCTGGGCAAGGTGACTCATGCCTGTAATCCCAGCACTGTGGGAGGCCAAGAGGGATAGATCACCTGAGGTCAGGAGTTTGAGACCAGCCTGGCCAACATGGCGAAACCCCATCGCTACTGAAAATACAAAAATTAGCTGGACATGGTGACGGGAGCCTATAATCCCAGCTACTCAGGAGGCTGAGGCAGGGAGAATTGCTTGAACCCAGGAGAAGGAGGCAGAGGTTGCAGTGAGCCAAGATCTCACCATTGCACTCCAGCCTGGGTGACAGAGCAAGACTCTGTCTCAAAAAAAAAAAAAAAAAGAAAGAAAGAAAAAAAGAAAAAGAAGAAGAAGAAAGCAGCCGGCGTGGTGGCTCATGCCTGTAATCCCAGCACTTTGGGAAGCCAAGGTGGGTGGATCACTTGAAGCCAGGAGTTCGAGACCAGCTTGGCCAACATGGTGAAACTCCATTTCTACTAAAAATACAAGAATTAGTATGGTGGTGCACATCTGTAATCCCAGTTACTCGGGAGGCTGAGGCACAAAAATCGCCTGAACCCAGGAGGGAGAGGCTGCAATGAGCTGAGAGATTGTGCCATTGCACTCCAGGCTGGGCGATGGATCGAGACTGTTGCAACAGAAAAAAAGAAGAAGAAGAAGAAGGTGATGATGATGATGAAGAAAGAAGAGGGAGAGGAAGAGAGAAGAAGGAGGAGGAGGAGGGAGGAGGGGGAGGGGGGAAGGAGAAGGGAAAGGGGAAGGAAGGGGAGGGGGAGGAGAAGGAGGAGAGGAAGAGGAAGAAAGAAGAAGAGGGAAGAAGAAGAGGAGGAGGAGGAGGAGAAGGAGGGGAGGAGGAGGGGAAGGAGGAGGAGGAGAAGGAGAAGGAGGAGGAGAAGGAGAAGGAGGAGGAGAGGTTGGGCGAGGTGGCTCACACCTGTAATCCCAGCACTTTGGTAGGCTGAGGTGGGAGGATTGCTTGAGGCCAGGAGTTCAAGACCAGCCTGGGCAACATAGTGAGACCTCATCTCCACTAAAAAAAAAAAAAAAATATGGGCACAGTGAAGCAGGCCTGTAGTTCCAGCTACTTGGGAGGCTGAGGCAGGAGAATCGCTTGGTCCTGGGAAGCTGAGGTTGCAGTGAGCCATGATTGCACCACTGCACTCAGCCTGGGTGACAGAGTGAGACCCTGTCTTAAAATAAATAAATAAATAATAGAAGAAGAAAGAGCCAGGCATGGTGGTTTATGCCTTTAATTCCAGCACTTTGAGAGGACGAGGCAGAAGAATTACCTGAGCCCAGGAGTTTGAGACCAGAGTCTGGACAACATGGCAAAACCCTGTCTCTGTTTAAAAGAAAGAAAATGAAAGACATGTATGTAAAAAATGTGTCTACATTTTTTAAAAGAAGGAGAAGGATCACAAACCAACAACCTAATTCTACACCTCAAGGAACTACAAAAAGAAGAACAAAGTAAACACAAAGCTAGCAAAAGGAATGAAATAAAGATCAGAACAGAGATCAAGGGAATAGAGAACAGAAAAACAATAGAAAAAAATCAGTTAAACTAAGAGTTGATTTGTTGAAAAGATCAACAAAATTGACAAACACTTAGCTAGATTAACGAAGAAAAAAGAGAGAAGATTCAAGCAACTAAAATCAGAAATGGCTTAGGTGCAATCTCAGCACTTTGGGAGGCTGAGGTGGGAGGATTGCTTGAGCCCAGGAGTTTGAGACCAGTCTGAGCAACATGGCGAGACCCTGTCTCTATCTAATCTAATAGATAGAGTCTCATCTCATCAGGAGGCTGAGGCAGGAGGATCCCTTGAGCCCAGGAGGTTGAGGCTGCAGTGCGCCATGATATCGCCACTGCACTCCAGCCTGAGCAATAGAGTGAGACCCTATCTCAAAAAATAAAACAAAATAAATAAAATAAAATCAGAAATGAAGACAATAAATGGTGCTGGGAAAACTATTTTCATATGCAGAAGAACAAAATCGGATCCTTATCATACACCATACATAACAATCAAATCGAAATGGATGAAAGACCTAAATGTAAAACTTGAAACCATAAATCTCCTAGATAAGAACACAGGGGAAAAGCTCCTTGACATTGGTCTTGGCAATTATTTTTTAATATAATACCAAGAGGTCAAGCTATAAAAGCAAAAATAAATAATGGAACTAGATTAAAGAAAAAACCTTTTGCACAGCAAAGAAGACAAAATGGGAAGCAGTCTATGGACTGAGAAAAATCTTTGCAAACCATGTATCTGATAATGGAATTAGTATTCAAAATATATAAAGAACTGTTACAACTCGGCCTGGCACAGTGGCTCACTCCTGTAATCCCAGCACTTCAGGAGTTTGAGACAAGCCTGGCCAACAGGGTAAAACTAGGTCTCTACAAAAAATACAAAAATTAGCCAGGCATGGTGGCGGGCACCTGTAATCCCAGCTACTCGGAAGGCTGAGGCAGGAGAATCCCTCGAACCCAGCAGGCAGAGGTTGCAGTGAGCCAAGATCGCACCACTGTACTCCAGCCTGGGCGAGAGAGCAAAAACTCCATCTCAAAAAGAAAAAAAAAATGACTGGGCACGGTGGCTCACGCCTGTAATCCCAGCACTTTGGGAGGTCGAGACGAGTGGATCACCTGAGGTCAGGAGTTTGAGACCAGTCTGGCCAATCTTTGTGAAACCCCACCTCTACTAAAAATAGAAAAATTAGCCGGGTGTGGTGGCGGGCTCTTGTAATCCCAGCTACTCGGAGGGCTGAGGCAGGAGAATCATTTGAACCCAGGAGGCGGAGGTTGCAGTGAGCCAAGATTGCGCCACTGCACTCCAGGCTGGGTGACAGAGCGAGACTCTGTCTCAAAACAAAACAAAACAACAACAACAACAACAAACTCTTACAACTCAGTGACAGAAAAGCAAGTAACTCGATTTGCCAAAGCACTTGAACAGACATTTCCTCAAGAAAGACATAAAAATGGCCAACAGGTATATAAAAAGGTGCTTACATCACTAATCATCCAGCAAGTGAAAATCAAAACCTCTATGAGAGGCCGGGCGTGGTGGCTCACACCTGTAATCCCAGCACTTTGGGAGGCCAAGGCAGATGTATCACCTGAGGTCAGGAGTTCGAGACCAGCGTGGCCAACATGGCGAAACCCCGTCTCTACTAAAAATACAAAAATTAGTCAGGCATGATGGTGGGTGCCTGTAATCCCAGCTACTCAGGAGGCTGAGGCAGGAGAATCACTTGAACCCGGGAGGTAAAGGTTGCAGTGAGCCGACACCATGCCATTGCATTCCAGCCTGGGTGACAGGAGAGAAACTCCGTCTGCAAAAAAAAAAAAAAATTGTTTAGATGGTAAATTTTACATTAAAAATGATTACAATGGTAAAAAAGTAATAAAAGCATTGTTACCACTAAAATAATGTTTAACCAAGCAAAAAAAAAAAAAAAAAGACATTAAAAAAAAACCCCAGGTGATTCCGAAGTGCCCCAGGTTTGGAAACACAGTTACATGATGATCCTGGATGACTTCCAAGAAGAAGAGGAGCTTTGAGCTGAGCTGTAAAGGGCAGAAACGTTTTGGCTGGGAGAAGGGAAGGGGGAAGTTACAAAGGAAGGAATGAGTTCAGTAGCAGCAGCGACATCACAAACATTTAACATACTATAAGTGCCTATTATATGCCAGGCGTGTGGTTCACATGTGTTCTCTTGTTTAAGCCACACGACGGTAACTCTAGGAGGTGGGCACTACTGGTGCCATTTTATGGAATAGAAACTGGGTGGCAGTTTGGGGCAGCCAGAGAGGGAGACCAGCCTGCCTATGTAGAGACGATGCAGATTGGAACAGAGAAGGCAAATTACCAAAGGCCTTGACACCAGTCAGAAAAGTCCACCTGATACCATGGACATGGGGTCGTTACAGGTTCTTGAGTAAAAGAGTGGTGCGATTTGAGAGGTGTTTTCAGCAAGTGAATCTAGCAGCAGTGTGCAGGAAAGTTCTGGCTGAACCCATGTGCCCTACACCAGAGTGGAAGCCCAATCCTTGCAAAATGGGCAACAAACAGATGTGCAAGTTGGGAATCAAAGGAAATTCACTCCTGAAGCAGGTGCCCCATTCTCCCTCTCCCCCACCTGACCCCAACACGCCCAGGTCTGTCCTCTGAGTGGCTCACACCCTGAAGAAGCAGGTCTTCTGGTGCCTGCCCTGCTCTGGCTGAGCAAAACCAGGTGGGACAGAGCTGTGTTCTGCAATTTGGAGGCTGGGACTGTAGGGGCATGGTTGACGTGTCTTGTCCCTGTGAGCGCTCTCTGCTGGAGGATCCCGGCCTGGCAGGAGTCTGCAGGCTCTGGGCACTGGGCCCAGACGGCTTTCATTTTTTATTAGTGATGGGGTGTCTTTCAGACTCCTGGAGATATTAATTACAGCCTGTTGTATAACAAGCTATGGTTTCACAGAGGACAGAGCTCACTGTCTCAAAGGCCTCTGGTCCCTGAGTTATTGGACTTCAACAGGAATTTCTAAAAAAAATTGACTTCCCCTTTTTTTTGAGACAGGGTCTCCCTCTGTTGCCCAGGCTGGAGTGCAGTGGCATGATCTGAGCTCACTGCACCCTCTGCCTCCCGGGTTCAAGAAATTCTCATGCCTCAGCCTCCTGAGAGTACCTGGGATTACAGGCATGTGCCATCACACCCAGCTAAATTGTATATTTTTAGTAGAGACGGGGTTTCACCATGTTGGCTAGGCTGGTCTCGAACTCCTGGCATTGAGTGATCCACCCACCTCGGCCTAAAAACGGATTCTCAAGGATGCTGGGTTCCTTCCTTCTTCTGAGGCTCAGCAGAAGCCGTCAGTCCCCAAGCTTCCTCAGGAGGGCCCATGGGGCAGAACCCTGCAGTTCCTGTGGGTTATGCTGGAAGCTGTTTCTTAAGAATGAAGAATTCAGGCAAGTGTGGTGGCTCATGCCTGTAATCCTAACACTTTGGGAGGCTGTGGCAGGAGGAGGGCTTGAGCCCAGGAGTTTGAGATCAGTCTGGACAACATAGGAAGACCCCATTGCTACAAAAAAAAAAAAGTTAAAATAAAAAAGAATGGAGAATTCTGGAAATCAGATCTAGAAGCTGGACACAGATGGCCCTAACAGGGCAGTAGATTCCTGTTCCAATAAAGAAAGGTAGTGATGTCTAATGTTACAGAATTGTTCAAAGAAGGGCCTCAGTCTCGTACCAGGAATATCAGAATGGGTTTATGCATTGAACTGTGGGGTTTACAAACTTCTTTCAGGGGCAAATCCCTGGAACTCTGCCCACTGGGCCTTCCTGACACTGAGGCAGCTCTGCTGAGCCCAGGATTCCTGGGGCCACACCGCAAGCCCTGCCTAATGTCCTTTCCAACCTAGAGAACCCATACTCTGCCATTCTAAGCCAATTAAATATTATTAAATGAAGATAAGTCATTTGAAAATCAGACACTCCCTTAGTGGATCAAATGTTCATTTCTGAATGAACCCAGACTGCATTCAGGTATTCCTGAGTTTCTAATTTGTTTCTCCTATTTAATAATTAAATAAAACTCATGGAGATTGAAAACATGTCCAGGACCATGCTAAGTGCTTTAAACATGTTTCTTTTTAATCCTCACAATAACATTCTCATCCTCAAGAATTAAGGGAGGCTGGAGAGTTTATAAGTGACCTGCCCAAGGTCTCCCAGTCGCAGGCCAGGATTCAGGTTCAGGTCATCTAGACTGTCTGCCTTTCTGCCACCTCACTTCTGCCCATTTAACAGCCCTACCCCAACCACCTCCTCCATCAGGGAGGCCAGCCCATGCCAAACTCTGTGTTGCTACCCTCCCTGCTCTGTTCCTACCCTGTCCGTCCTTCAGGGCATGAAACAGACACAGGAAAAGTACATTGAAAATGTGTCATGTGGCCAGGTGCAGTGGCTCATGCCTGTAATCCCAGCACTTTGGGAGGCTAAGGCGGGAGAATCATTTGAGTCCAGGAGTTTGAGACCAGCCTGGGCAATGCAGTGAGACCCAGTCTTAAATTAAAAATTATTTTAATTATTTTAAATTTTATTTTTAAAAAGATATAAAATATTTTAAATTTTTAAAAAAGGAAATATGTCATGTATATTGTAAAGCTGCAGGACCCAAACCATAGATCCTTAAGGCTATCTAAGGCCAGAAGAGGATTCTAGACAGTTTTCTGTTTTTGTTTGTTTGTTTGTTTGTTTGTTTGTTTTTGAGACTGAGTCTTGCTCTTGTTGCCCAGGCTGGAGTACAATGGCACGATCTCGGCTCACGGCAGCCCCTGCCTCCCAGGTTCAAGTGATTCTCCTGCCTCAGTCTCCCGAGTAGCTGGGATTACAGGCATGCGCCACCACACCTGGCTAATTTTTTTTTGTTTTTGTATTTTTAGTAGAGACAGGGTTTCACCAAGTTGGCCAGGCTGGTCTCAAACTCCTGACCTCAGGTGATCTGTCCACCTTGGCCTTCCAAAGTGCTGGGATTACAGGCGTGAGCCACTGCGCCTGGAGATTCTAGACAGTTTTTAAAGTGTTTCCACATTCCATGTTTTATTTAACCTCCACATCCATCCTGGGAAAGATGTTAAGTGTTAATAGTTCCACTTTACAAATAGGACACAAGGCTCAGAGAAGCTGTCAGAGGTCTGAGGTCACACAGGTAAGGAAAGCAGCTCAGCCAGAACTAAAGGGGCGTGAGTTTCTGGGTGGCCCAGAGTTACTGATGAGAACCCAGCTCTTCTTTTTACTTTTATTTGTATTTATTTATATATTTTTTTGAGACAGAGTTTCATTCTTGTTGCCAAGTCTGGAGTGCAATGGCGCAATCTCGGCTCACTGCAACCTCTGCCTCCTGGGTTCAAATGATTCTCCTGCCTCAGCCTCCCAGGTAGCTGGGATTACAGGAGCCTGCCACCATGCCTGGCTAATTTTTTGTATTTTTAGTAGAGACAGGGTTTCACCATGTTGGCCAGGCTGGTGTCGAACTCCTAACTCTAGGTGATCCACTTGCCTTGGCTTCCCAAAGTGCTGGGATTATAGGAATAAGCCACCGTGCCTGGCCTATTTTTATTTTTATTTTTTATTGGAGACAGGGTCTCGCTTTGTCACCCAGGCTGAAGTGCAGTGGCATGATCTTGGCTCACCGCAACCTCTGCCTCCCAGGGAGAACCCAGCTCTTCTGACACCACTGCCAATGCCCTGCCCTCATATTGCAAGGCTCCCAGAGTGGCAAACCATCTGTGCGTAAAGATCTCAAGCAATGTCACTCCACATAGCTCTTCCTCGGTAGCACTGTTGTTTGCTCATTATTCTTCCTCTTTTTGCTTCCTCTTCCTCTTCTCTCACCATAAATTATATCCTTTGCCTAAGGAATACATTAATTCTGCTTAAATAAAGATAACAGCAGCCTCACCCCTGCACTCAGCTAATTGAGGGCCATCACTTGCACAGCCAGCCATGGACACGCCCAGGGCATACCCACCATTTACTGAGCTTTTTTTTTTTTTTTGAGACAGATTCTCACTCTGTCACCCAGGCTGGAGTGCAGTGGCGCAATCTTGGCTCACTGCAACCTCCACCTCCCAGGTTTAAGTGATTCTCTTGCCTCAGCCTCCCGAGTAGCTGGGATTACAGGCACCCGTCATCACACCTGGCTAATTTTTCAGTAGAGAAAATACTTTCAGCAGAGACGGGGTTTCACCATGTTGGCCAGGCTGATCTTGAACTCCTGATCTCAGGTGATCTGCCCGCCTTAGCTTCCCAAAGTGTTGGGATTACAGGCGTGAGCCACCGCAGCCCACCCACTTACTGAGCTGTTAACAACCTGACATTCTCACCACAAGTCTCAGAAGTCAGTTTTCATTTGCCTACTTTACAGATGGAGCAATAATGGCTCAGAAGGTCTCTCATGGCTTGTTCAAGGTCACACAACTTATAAGTGACAGCCAGACTTGAACCTAAGTCTACTTGAAGCTAATGCCCATGTTCTTCATGCCATGGTTCCAACTGAGGGGAACCCAAGCTATAACTAGCTTTTGCTCTCTCCATTTTAGGATCCTTCCAGTTAAAAAGAAGCTTTAGCATGCTTGTAAGTTAGGCCAGGCTTGGAGCTATCGAATGACAATAATATTGTTATTTTTTCCCATATTTTGAGCACTTATGCAGGCATTGTCGCCTCATTTTATCAGTCAGTCCTTGCAAATGCTTTGTGAAGTGGATGCTGCTATCCCCATTTTACAGATGAGATATCTGAGGCCCAGGAGGCTCAGTAACTTGCTACCAGCACCCAGCTTGTGAGTGATGAGTTGAGGATTTAGACCCAGGTCTGGCTGATGCCTATGCCCTTGTCTTTAACCACTTCTCTCCCCACCTTGCCTGCCAGGTTTACTGTTCTTTCAAACATGACATGAATTCTCTGTGCCTCTGGAGATCGGCCAGGAGAGGCAGGTTTGGTCAATTTGGCCATCGGGAGACTCGGAACACCCTGAATTCGCTGTCACTTTGGTTCTACCTGGGGCTGGCTGCGTTTCCCCACAGGAGAACGGCTCTGAGTTTCAGGATGGTGCCAGATGACAGCTAGAGTGTCTGCTAGAACTCTGGGAACATATGTGACTTCCCTATTTGGAGGTACAGAAAAGACTGGAGCTCAGACTGTTTAAAAACAGTTCCTTTTCTTTCAGCAGGACATGTGTGCAGTGCTCATTTTCCAAAGAGGAGGAGAAGAGCAGGGTATTTAGGTCAACAGCAGGGGATCCATGAGTCTGCCATGGGACTCACTAATGCAGGAGTAGAGAGAGAACCAGTGAGAGCTCTTTTGGTTGCAAGTGACAGGAAATCCAACCCAAACTTTTTTGGTTAAAGCAAAAAGTGGACTTATTCGCTCATAAAGCAGACAAGCCTAAGCGTACAGTCAATCTTCAGGGGCAGCTTCATCGAAGAATCAAGTCTCTACTTCCCCTCTCTGCTCTACTCCACACTAGTTTCACTTTCCTGTCATTGCAAGATGGTGGCCATAGCTCCAAACCTTACGCTCTCTCGGGAAAAGGTAAGTACAATAAGTCCAACAACTAATTGAATTCTACTGTCCCTAGCTGGCCTGACTTGGCTCAAAAGTGACATAAAGAAATGTGATGCATTAATGGGCTGGACATGGGCCCATGCCACACTTGTGACTGGATCAACACCACCCAACTGCATGGACTTTGAGTAGGCAAGGGATAGTGCCCTCAAACCAAAATTGGGATGCATTATAAGAAGCAAGATGAGGCTGGGCATGGTGGCTCATGCCTGTAATCCCAGCACTTTGGGAGGCTGATCACCTGAGGTCAGGAGTTCGAAACCAGCCTGACCAACATGGTGAAACCCCGTCTTTACTAAAAATACAAAAAAATTAGCCAGGCATGGTGGCGGATGCCTGAAATCCCAGCTACTCGGGAGGCTAAGGCAGGAGAATCGCTTGAACCCAGGAGGCAGAGGTTGCGGTGAGCCGAGATCGCACTCCAGCCTCGTCAACAAGAGTGAAACTGTCTCAAAAATTAAAAAAAAAAAAAAAAAAGAAGCAAGATCAGCGGATGCTGCATGTGGAAGGAACGAAGGAAGGAAGGAAGAAAGGAAGGAAGGAAGGGAGGGAGGAAGAGAGGGAGGGAGCGAGGAAGGGAGGGAGGAAGGATGGAAGCAAAGAAAAAGAAAGAGAGGAAAAAACCCCACTTGGGGTAAGCAAATTCACATACAAACACGTGGTTACATACAGATACGCCAAATAGCTTACAGACAGGTTATGGTCCAAAAATTCATTTGTAAATCAGTTTAGAACTTAGCACCTTTTTTACCCATGTGGAGAAAAGGGTGGTGGAATTTTCAATTGTCAAATTCCCAGTCTAAGAGATTTTTATTTAATGTGTAATATAGTGGAAATGCTGAATTTTTGAAATGAAAAAACAGAAAGCAAGTCTTACAACCATGGATGATAAATAAGAAAGATTTGGGGCTCTGCCTCTGCCTCTGCCCTCTGCCTCTGCCTCTCCCCATGGTCTCCCTCTCCCCATGGTCTCCCTCTCCCTCTCTTTCCACGGTCTCCCTCTCATGCCGAGCTGAAGCTGGACTATACTGCTGCCATCTCGGCTCACTGCAACCTCCCTGCCTGATTCTCCTGCCTCAGCCTGACTGGTTTTCGTATTTTTTTGGTGGAGATGGGGTTTCGCTGTGTTGGCCGGGCTGGTCTCCAGCTCCTAACCGCGAGTGATCCGCCAGCCTCGGCCTCCCGAGGTACCGGGATTGCAGACCGAGTCTGGTTCACTCAGTGCTCAATGGCGCCCAGGCTGGAGTGCAGTGGCGTGATCTCGGCTCGCTACAACCTCCACCTCCCAGCCGCCTGCCTTGGCCTCCCAAAGTGCCGAGATTGCAGCCTCTGCCCGGCCGCCACCCCGTCTGGGAAGTGAGGAGCGTCTCTGCCTGGCCGCCATCCCATCTGGGAAGTGAGGAGCGCCTCTTCCCGGCCGCCATCACATCTAGGAAGTGAGGAGCGTCTCTGCCCGGCCGCCGATCGTCTGGGATGTGAGGAGCGCCTCTGCCCGGCCGCCACCCCGTCTGGGAGGTGAGGAGCGTCTCTGCCCAGCCACCCCGTCTGAGAAGTGAGGAGCCTCTCCGCCCGGCAGCCACCCCGTCCGGGAGGGAGGTGGGGGTGGTCAGCCCCCCGCCCGGCCAGCCGCCCCATCCGGGAGGTGAGGGGCGCCTCTGCCCGGCCGCCCCTACTGGGAAGTGAGGAGCCCCTCTGCCTGGCCACCACCCCGTCTGGGAGGTGTGCCCAACAGCTCATTGAGAAGGGGCCAGGATGACAATGGCGGTTTTGTGGAATAGAAAGGGGGGAAAGGTGGGGAAAAGATTGAGAAATCGGATGGTTGCCGTGTCTGTGTAGAAAGAAGTAGACATGGGAGACTTTTCATTTTGTTCTGTACTAAGAAAAATTCTTCTGCCTTGGGATCCTGTTGATCTGTGACCTTACCCCCAACCCTGTGCTCTCTGAAACATGTGCTGTGTCCACTCAGAGTTAAATGGATTAAGGGCGGTGCAAGATGTGCTTTGTTAAACAGAAAAAAAAAAAAAAAAAAAAAAAAAGAAAGATTTGGGATCCGAAACCCTGTCATCATTTGTTATGAGTGCTGATGCTAGAGAAAAGCACGTTTAATTAATGAGAATGAGCTGGCAGATGGAGGCTCCAGAGGGGATCTGAAGGGGGCTTCTGAGCATGTCCAAGGGCTCAGGGGGTTGACACGGGTCTCTTTGTAATGCTTAATTTTCCTTCATGTGATATGGTTTTCCTTTTTTTTTTATATATATATAATATGGGTGTATCTAGGAGAATACACCTCTCCTATTTTCTTTTTACAGGTGTACAAAGAAAATGTGAATCTTTGCAACCCCACCATGTTTCCAGCCATTTTTTTTTTTACTCACAAGTGGACTCCACAGGAGGGAGGGGAGAGCAGGAGGTTGTCTCACAGCACCTGGGCAAGAGGTGGCAAAAGGAAGGCAGGTGAGGCGCTGAGAAGAAGGAGAAAAGCATGAAGTGAACTTGAGGAGCTGGGTCTGCAGAGGAATGACCTGCACCTGCTGCAAGATGTCCCCGCCTTCTTTATCACTGTGATGAGATGTATTCAAACTCACGTTTCCCAGCTGGGTGCAGTGACTCATGCCTGTAATGCCAGCACTTTGGGAGGCGAGGCGGGGGATCACCTGAAGTCAGGAATTCAAGACCAGCCTGGCCAACATGGTGAAACCCCATCTCTACTAAAAATACAAAAAAAAAAAAAAAAAAAAAAAAAAAGGCCAGCGCAGTGGCTTACGCCTGTAATCCCAGCACTTTGAGAGGCTGAGGCGGGTGGATCACCTGAGGTCAGCAGTTCGAGACCAGCCTGGCTAACATGGTGAAATCCCGTCTTTACTAAACATACAAAAAATTAGCCAGGCGTGGTAGTGGTCGCCTGTAATCCCAGCTACTCGGGAGGCTGAGGCAGGAGAATCGCTTGAACCTGGGAGGCGGAGGTTGCAGTGAGCTGAGATCGTGCCATTGCACTCCAGCTGGGTGACAAAAGCAAAACTTTGTCTCAAAATAAATAAATAAATAAATAAATTAGCTGGGCGTGGTGGCCCATGGCTGTAATCCTAGCTACTCTGGAGGCTGAGGCAGGAGAATCACTTGAACCCAGGAGGCAGAGGTTGCTGTGGGCCAAGATCAAGCCACTGCACTCCAGACTGGGCAACAGAGCAAGACTCCGTCTCAAACAAAAGCAACAACAACAAAAAACTCATGCTTCCCAATACTCAGCATTTCCTCTCTCAGACTATCTAGAAGTATGGGGGCAGCCACCAAGCTATCCCTAGGAATAGCTGCCCCCTCCTCCACATTGGTCACTAAGGACAATTCTCTGACATACCTGTATGCAGTTTCCACTCCCATGAAGCAAGTAGATTTTTTTTTTTTTTTTGAGACGGAGTCTCACTCTGTGGTCCAGGCTGGAGTGGCAATCTCGGCTCATTGAAACCTCCACCTCCCAGGTTCAAGTGATTCTCCTGCCTCAGCCTCCCAAGTAGCTAGCACCACCAGGCCTGACTAATTTTTGTATCTTTAGTAGAGACGGGGTTTCAATATGTTGGCCAGGCTGGTCTGAAACCCATGACCTCAGGTGATCCACCCGCCTCAGCCTCCCAAAGTGCTAGGATTACAGGCGTGAGCCACCATGCCCAGCTGAAGCAAGCAGATTGTATATCTGCCTCCTTCTCCTTTCCCTTGTGCTTCTTCTCCCACCCACAATAAGGCCACATTTCTTTGCCTAAATCACAAATCTTTTTTGTTGTTGTTTTGTTTTTTGAGACAGAGTCTCAATCTGTTGCCCAAGCTAGAGTACAGTGGCATGATCTCAGCTCACTGCAACCTCTGCCTCCCAGGTTCAAGTGATTCTCCTGCCTCAGCCTCCCAAGTAGCTGGGACTACAGGCATGTGCCACCACACGTGGCTAGTTTTTGTATTTTTAGTAGAGACAAGGTTTCACCATGTTCAGGCTGGTCTCGAACTCCTGACCTCAAGTGATCCACCCACCTCAGCCTTCCAAAGTGCTGGGATTACAGGCATGAGGCAACGCGCCTGGCCTGTACTTTCATTTCTCTATGTTTTTGTTTAGATTATTCTTCCATCCTTCCCTTTTCCAGCAAATGAAACAGCTTTTCCCAGGAGCTCCATCTATATGGTTATTGCATTAATTTTATGGGTGTTTTTTTGTTTTTGTTTTTTTGAGACAGGATCTTGCTCTGTAGCCCAAGCTGGAGTACAGTGGCTTGATCTTGGCTCACTGCAACCTCCGCCTCCCAGACTCAAGCGATTCTCCTGCCTCAGCCTCGTGAGTAGCTGGGATTACAGGTGCCGACCACCATGTCCAGCTAACTTTTGTATTTTTAGTATAGACAGGGTTTCATCATTGATATGGTTAAACTTTGTGTCCCAACTCAAATCTCATCTTGAATTGTAGTTCCCATAATCCCCATGTGTCATGGGAGGGACCCATTAAGAGGTAATTTCATCATGGGGGCGGTTTCCCTCATGCTTTTCTTGTGACAGTGAGTGAATTCTCATGAGATCTAATGGCTTTATAAGGGGCTTTTCTCCCTTTTGCTCAGCACTTCTCCTTGTTGTTGCCATGTGAAGAAGGACATGTTTCCTTCCCCTTCCGCCATAATTGCAGTTTTTCTGAGGCCTCCCCAGCCATGCTGAACTGTGAGTCAATTAAACCTCTTTCCTTTACAAATTCCCCAGTCTCAGGTATGTCTTTATTAGCAGCGTGTGAACGGACTAATACAGCCATGTTGGCCAGGCTGGTCTCGAACTCCTGGCCTCAGGTGATTCACCTGTCTCAGCCTCCCAAAGTGCTGAGATTACAGGTGTCAGCCACTGCACCTGGCCTATTGCATTAATTTTAATGACCAACGTTTACCAAGCACTTACTACCTGCCACCGTCAGCTTTCTCCACTTAAGCACCCCAGCCTTAGAGCGGGAGCAAGACACCAACTATGAATCTGGTGCTTGCTACACTCTGATACTCCCTTCCACTTGGCCCCCACAGCCCCTGTATCAGTGAATCCCTGCTTCCTCGAACATCTTCTTCCTGGCTTGGATGTCCAATCAAATCCCGCCCCCTACCAGTTCCTTCATTATTAGAAAACAACTTTGCAGTCTCTATTTGACTGGGCGATTGAAGCCTGCACGTCTGTTCATTCATTCATTTCACAGTATTGATTGAGCACTGGGACTCGGAGGTTTGAAGGAAGATATGGTCCCTATCCTTTTGGAACCGCAAGCCAGGATGAGAGGGGCAGGACACACAGTGTTATAAACAATTAAATAGTTACTAGTGCACAAAATGCTGCCATGAAGTTTGGGGAGCTATGGTAGGGGCTTACCAGTGAGAAAAAGAAAAATAGCTCAGAGCAGTCCGAGCTATGTGAGGTATGCAAAATTTATCAGGTCTAGAGAGACAGGACTATGGGATTTCAGTCCTGCATCCCATGCCCATGGGATGGGGTCACCCATGCCCAGCGGCAATTGTTCAATGACATTTTGTTCTTTCTTTTCTCCCTTGTAATTTCCTGACTAGCCGCCTCACCCATTATCTTCATGTTCCTGAAATTTGTGATACAAAGAGCAATGTATAGCCAATTAATAGCTATGTTCTTCTTTTCTTTTTTCTTTTTTTTTTTTTTCTTGAGACAGAGTCTCACTCTGTCGCCCAGGCTGGAGTACAGCAGCGCCATCCTCGGCTCACTGCAACTTCCACCTCCCAGGTTCAAGCAGTTCTCCTGTCTCAGCCTCCCGAGTAGCTGGGACCACAGATATGTGCCACCATGCCCGGCTAATTTTTGTATTTTTAGTAGAGACAGGGTTTTACCATGTTGCCAAGACTGCTCTTGAACTCCTGGCCTCTTGTAATCCACCCTCCTCGGCCTCCCAAGGTGCTGGGATTACAGGTGTGGGCCACCGGCGCAGGGCTGCCATTATTTTCATGCAAATTCTTGGTAAACAATTTAGGAACTGCCTCTTTGTTTTTCATTTAAAAACCCACTAGTTGCTATAACCACTGAGTACTAAAACAAACAAACACACAACAACAACAACAACAAAACCCACCTGTAACTTCTGCTAATCAGAGTGTATATTCAGGGCAACTTGAATCTATGCTCCCAAGTTGCAGTTTCCAAACTAGCCCCAGATAAATTCTCTACTTGTATTAATTTGCCTCAGTTTCTTTCTGTAAGTTAACGTATCTGGCACAGATCCACAGGATTCAGAGTGACCGCCACTGACTACCCAGTGTTCCCTCTGAGACTCAGTGCTGGGTGCCAGCCTCACTCTATTGTGTTCCTTTGACTCCAGTAATTTCAAACCCTCTCTTTCATTTAAGAATCAGGGCTTTGGTCTCTGTCTCTACACAGAAGATTCAGGAAAAGAGCTCTGCTGAGGACTTCTGCCTTCTCCAACTCTGCTTCAGGGCAAAAGGATCCAGTTATCGGCTGTCAGGTGCTGGTGGTTTCACCTCTCTTGGCAGAAAATAATGTAGCATTGCTTTTAAAATTGCAGCCCTCCTATTGATTGTAATTCAGACTTGTCTTTGAATTTCTGACTAATTCCCGTTCCAAACTGAAAGATGCATGAAGGTAAGTTGTCTTTGTGGGTTTATTTATTTATTTGAGACGGAGTCTCGCTCTGTCGCCCAGCTGGAGTGTAGTGGTGTGATCTCCACTCACTGCAACCTCCGCCTCCCTGATTCTGGTGATCCTCCTACCTCAGCCTCCCGAGTAGCTGGGATTACAGGCGCCTGCCATCAAACCCGGCTAATTTTTGTATTTTTGATAGAGATGGGGTTTCACCATGTTGGCCAGGCTGGTCTGGAACTCCTGACCTCAGGTGATCTGCCCACTTCCGCCTCCCACAGTGCTGGGATTACAGGTGTGAGACACCACACCTGGCTTTGGCATCCATTTTTAATCTTCTTCTAATACACCCAAACTCCCTGAAAATGTTTAAATTCTCTCTGTGCATTGAGATGCAAGTTTGCTACTCTGTTTTCTCAAAAACTTGACAAGGGCTTCAATAAGCTTTAACTTACTCCATTTAACAAGGCACAATTTAATCCAACTGTCCTTTTAAACTAGTGAGTTTTACCAGTTTTATGGCTAAAACTTTAAGTAAAAGCATTAACATCATTATTTTTGTGTCTGTGTAGGTTTTTTTTGTTTGTTTGTTTTGGATTTTTTGTTTGTTGGTTTTTTGAGACAAAGTCTCACTGTGTCACCCAGGCTGGAGTACCTTGACTTTCTGGGCTCAGGCAGTCCTCCCACCCTAGCCTCCCAAGTAGCTGGGACAATAGATGAGCACCACCCACACCCAGCTGATATTTTTAAAAATTATTTTTGTAGAGATGGGATCTCCTTATGTTGGCCAGGCTAGCCTCAAATTTTGGGCTCAAGTGATCCTCCAGCCCCAGCCTCCCAAAGTGCTGCGATTACAAGCATGAGCCACCCACCTGGCCTGTCTGTATTTTTTATGTATACAGCATACATGTCTTTGTTTGTATACTGTCTACATGGTTCCAAGTTGACTTGTAATAAATGAATGTTCATAAATTAAATACGTAAATCCAAATGCCTTTCTTCTCTCCCTTTCTTTCTTTCTTTCTTTCTTTCTCTTTCTTCCTTCCTTTCTTTCTTTCTTTCTTTCTTTCTTTCTTTCTCACTCTCCTTCCTTCCTTCCTTCTTTCCTTCATTCTTTCTTTCTTTTGTTCTTTCTTTTTTTGAGACAGGGTCTCACTCTGTCACGCAGGCTGGTATGCAGTGATGTGATCATAGCTTGCTGCATCTTTGAACTTCTGGGCTCAAGTGATCCCCTGCTTCAGCCTCCTGAGTAGCTAGGACTACAGGTACATGCCACCATGCCTGGCTACCAAATGCTTTTTAAGTTCATGTGACTTTAGTCATCTTTTATAAATAAAACTAGTTTTAAAATCGTTGGTAATATGAAATTAGGATTTTTCAGAATTGTCGGTATTAAATATAGTTAAGACATTTTTGCCTGGGTCTATGGGTTGGACGGGTTTTACTGTCTTTGCTAGATATTTTAAGGTCATACAGCTGTTGCTTCTGTAATTTTTTTATACTTTCTTGATTTATTTGTGAGCTAAAGCTGTGTGAGTGGCTGCTAGGCTTCCCTGAAGCATTGCATACATCTTACTGTGAGCTTCCGTCTTTGGTTTTGCACCTTTAGAGTCTGGATTCTACACAGGTGGCCATAGTAAGCCCTGAAGACATATGTATGTCTATAGCACCTAAGCCACCAGTGACAGGGCAGAGACAAACCCAATATGTCCTCCCTGGCCCAGCTGTGTTTCCTACCCATGTGGGAAAGGGTCAGATCCTCCAGGCATTGTCTTCACAGCTCCATCCTAAGCTCTACACCTGGCATATAAATTCAGGATCGAGATGGGCTCGCCCTTCATTGCCATCCTTGGTGCCACATGGGTACTTGGGACCCAAGATGACTGAGGAAGACACTGGGGAGGGTACTTGTATATTATAAGTCATCTTATCTTAAATTAATGAATATGTAATCATAAAATGTCTAAGTCATTTCTAAGTAAGTTAAAATACTGAAATATTAAACATAAGCTTATGTACTTGGGCATCTTATTTCTTTCTTTTCTTCTCTTTTTTTTTAGATAGAGTCTTGCTCTGTCACCCAGGCTGGAGTGCAGTGGCACAATCCCAACTCACTGCAACCTCACTTCCCTGGCTGAAGCGATCCTCCCACCTCAGCCTTGCAAGTAGCTGAGACCACAAGCATGCACCACCACGCCCAGCTAATTTTTTGTTTTTTGTAGAGATAAGATTTCACTATGTTGCCCAGGCTGGTCTTGAACTCCTGAGTTCAAGTGATCCATCTGCCTCAGCCTCCCAAAGTGCTAGGATTACAGGCCTGAGCCGCCATGCCTGGGCAGCATCTCATTTTCATATGGTATAGAAAAGCTAAAATACATTTAGATCGGTTAATAAACAAAAAAAATGAAGTAACATCTTCCTAAAAAGTTATGAAATGGTTTTCATCTATAAATAATGATATAAAATAGTTCAAAATAACTTATAGGTTTTTCACTAGAAACTAAGGTTACTAAGAGATAAAATTGTAGTTAATATGTGGAATTAAAACTACTAGTTCTAAGAGAAGCAATTATTTATACAGAACATATCAGAAAAATAGGATGTGTTTTTGGCAAAGAAGATTGTAAAGAAGGCATGACAGTGTGGTTTTTGTTCAAGGAAAAGTAATTTTGTCTGGGATTTTTTTTCTTTTTTTTTTAGGGACAGGATCTTGCTTTGTCACCCAGGCTGGAGTACAGTGGCACCATCAATAGCTCACTACAGCCTCAAACTCCTGGGCTCAAATAATCCTCCTGCCTCAGCCTCCTGAGCAGCTAGGACTACAGGCATGTGCCACTGCACCCAGCTAATTTTTTTTTTTGTAGGTATAGGGTCTCACTATGTTGCCTAGACTGGTCTCAAACTCCTGGTCTCAAGCAATCCTCCCATCTCAGCCTCCCAAAATGCTGGAATTACAAGTGGGAGGCACCACACCAGCCTTGTCTGGAGGTTTTTAAATGTTGTTTTAAATAGAAGAGATTTTTTAAAAAAGAATGACACATAAAACTGATTGGATATGGAAACTTGGGGAAAGAGATAATGTGGGAAACTTGTGACATTATACAACTGGTGAAACACACATCATAAAAAATCAATTGGCAGGTTGGGCATGGTGGCTCATGCCTGTAATCCCAGCACTTTGGGAGGCAGAGGTAAGAGATCACTTGACCCAGGAGTTTGAGACCAGCCTGGGCAACATGGTGAGACCCCATCTCTACCAAAAAAAAAAAAAAAAAAAAATTAACCGGGTATAGTGGTGTATGCCTGTAGTCCCAGCTACTTGGGAGGCTGAGGAGGGAGAATCGCTTGAGCCCGGAGGTTTGAGGCAGCAGTTAGCAGAGATTGCAGGGTGACGAGCAAGTCACTGTCTCAAAAAAAAAAAAGAAGACCAAAAAAACCCACAACAATCAACTGGCAAAGCTTACAGAAACCTTTAACCTTCCCTGGCCTAAGGCTCCTCCATTTGCTTAACTTATATTCTACTCTAGAAAACTTCAGCTCTCTTCCTTTGAAATAAAAACAGGAAGGCCATGCTACTAACCAGCTTTCCTTAAAGGTGATATTCTTCTTCATTGCCAAGGCCTTATAAGCTTCTCATTAAAAATTCTAAATTAATGAAGGATTCTTGCAACAGCAAGCTCCTGAAAGATGAAGACATCAAACATTATGGTCTCCAACCTGGAGATTTTGTTTATTAGAAAACAACATCAAATAAAGAACTTTCAGCCACACTGGAAGGCACCGTATCAGGCAGCTGAACCTGAGTGGACATCTTCATCACTGGAGGTCTTTACTGCCTTGTTCTTCAGACCAGGACAAGAAGTAGATGAAATATTTATTTGGTTACCTTCAGGAATAGGAACATTACTCAAATCTGGATTTCAAATTGTTTTGTTAATAATTGTCCTTATTTGCATCATATTTTTTACTCTTAAATTGACAATGCTTTGTATTTCTAGATATCTAAAGTCAACAATGAAAACAACTAGTCACGATATCGTGATAGCTAGACACTTAGAAATGATTCAGCTGTGCCATTAGCACACGCCTGCAATCCCAGAACTTTGGAAGGCTGAGGTGGGAGATGGCTTGGGCCCAAGAGTCTGAGACCAGCCTGGGCAACATAGTGGGACCCCCATCTCTACAAAAAATTTAAAAATAAGCCAGGCATGGTGGCATGCCCCTGTAGTGCCAGCTACTTGGGAAGCTGAGACAGGGGGATCACTTGAGTCCAGGTCAAGGTGGCAGTGACCTATGATCGCACTTTGCACTCCAGCCTGGGTGACAGAGCAAGACCCTGTCTCAGGAAAAAAAAAAAAAAGAAAGAAAGAAAGAAAGAAAACAGAAATGATCCAACCAACATGCCTTGGCTCGCTTGTAGGTGGAGGGTGACTGGCCTGAGAGCCCATTGCTATGTCCCTTTGTGCTGCTAATCAATTAGGCCTTGAGAATTCACTAAATTCTTTTTTTCTTTTCTTTTTTCTCTTTCTTTTTTTTTTTTTTTTTTGAGATGGAGTTTCATTCTTGTTGCCCAGGCTGGTGTGATCTCGGCTCACCGCAACTTCCGCCTCCCAGGTTCAAGCAATTCTCCTGCCTCAGCCTCCCAAGTAGCTGGGATTACAGGTATGCACCACCACACCCGGCTAAGTTTGTATTTTTAGTAGAGACGGGGTTTCTCCACATTGGTCAGGCTGGTCTCGAACTCCTGATCTCAGGTGATCCACCTGCCTCGGCCTCTCAAAGTGTTGGGATTACAGGCGTGAGCCACTGCGCCTGGCCCAAGAATTCACTAAATTCTTAAGCAATAGTATCTCTCCTTTTTCCCTCCTATGTGGGACAATATTACCTGGGAATGAGCCTTCCCAACGATGCGGGACAAACTTAAACCTACAATGTTGATCCTCAATGCCTTTGGAAGAGAAATATATCTATCAAAAGGGAGAATTGAGAGAAGAAAAACAGCTTAGAGCAGTCTGGCATTTTGTTCTTTCTTTTCTTTCCTGTAGTTTCCTGAATACCTGCCTTAACCATCATATCTATGTTGCTGGAATTTGTGATAAAAAATGTACAGCCAATCAATAGTTAATGTTTTTTTAATGTAAATTCTTGGTAAACAACTTAGGAACTGTCTCATATTTTCCTTTAAAAATCCACTTGTTGGTTGGGCACAGTGGCTCACACCTGTAATCCCAGCGCTTTGGGACGCCGGTGGGGAGGGGTGTGGATCACCTAAGTTCAGGAGTTCAAGACCAGCCTGGCCAACATGGCAAAACCCCGTCTCTACTAAAAATAGAAAAATTAGCCAGGTGTGGTGGGTACGCCTGTAATCCCAGCTACTTGGGAGGTTGAGGCAGAAGAATCGATCGAACCTGGGAAGTGGAGGTTGCAGTGAGCCGAGATCATGCCATTGCACTCCGGCCTGGGTGACCGAGCGATACTCTGTCTCAAAAACAAAACAAAACAAAATGAAACATTTGCTGGGCCACGTCTGTAATCCCAGCACTTTGAGAAGCCAAGGTGAGAGGCTTACTTGAGCTCTGGACTTTGAGACCAATCTGGGCAACAGAGCGAGACCTTGTCTCTAAACAATAATAATTAATTAATTAATTAATTAACTTGTTGATGGTCCCAGGAAGCTGGAATTGATAGTATCCACCTAATAGGATAGTGAGGTAAAGCAGGTAATGAACTTGAGGCTGCAAGTGAGCTCCAATCTCATCACCGCCCTCCAGCCTGAGCCACAGAGCAAGACCTGTCTCTTAAAAAAAAAAAAACAAAAAACCAGCTGAAAGACATATGTGTTAATTCTGTTTTTCTATTTTCTAATTTATTCATGTCTTCCTTCCTCATCTTAGGATTTTGTTTTTTAATATTTTTAGATTTAATATTTTAGATTGTTACATGAATGATTATTTTGTTTATTTAACTTTTTCTAGGTTTAATAATACAATTATTTTAAAATCTAAATACTTTTTTTTTTAAATTGAGGTGAAGTCCCAGTCTGTTGCTTAGCCTGGAGTGTAGTGGCATGTCTTGGCTCACTGCAATCTCTGCCTCCGGGGTTCAAGTGATTTTCCTGTCTCAACCTCCCGAGTAGCTGGGACTACAGGCATACGACACCTCGCCCGGCCAATTTTTGTATTTTTAGTAGAAACGGGGTTTCACCATATTGGTCAGGCTGGTCTTGAACTCCTGGCCTCAAGTGATCTGCCTGCCTCGTCCTCCCAAAGTGTTGGGATTACAGGCGTGAGCCACCGCGCCCGGCTAAATACATTTTTGAGTAAAGTTTTGCATGTATACTTTTGGTTTTCATGGGTGAAGTTTTGTTTTGTTTTGTTTTGTTTTTTGTTTTTTGTTTTTTTTTTTGTGACAGAGTCTCACTCTGTCGCCCAGGCTGGAGTGCAGTGGCTCAATCTTGGCTCACTGCAAGCTCCGCCTCCCGGGTTCACGCCATTTTCCTGCCTCGGCCTCCTGAGTAGCTGGGACTACAGGTACCCGCCGCCATGCCTGGCTAATTTTTTGTATTTTTAGTAGAGACAGGGTTTCACCGTGTTAGCCAGGATGGTCTCGATCTCCTAAGCTCATGATCCGCCCACCTCAGCCTCCCAAAGTTCTGGGATTACAGGCATGAGCCACCGTGCCTGGCCGGGTGCAATTCTTTTTTAAAAAAAATTCTTTATTTTTAATTTATTTGAACATTCTTAACTGTATACAATTTGCAACATTCCCAATAATCATTAAATAGGGCCATATTTTACTTTTTCTTGTTTTATTTTTCTGAGACAAAGTCTCACTCTGTTGCACAGGCTGGAGGGCAGTGGCTTACTCTTGGCTCATTGCAACCTGTTCTTCTTTGGTTCAAGCAATTCTTGTGCCTCAGCCTCCCAAGTAGCTGGGATTACAGGCGTGCACCACCACACCTGGCTAATTTTTGTATTTTTAGTAGAAACGGGGTTTCGCCATGTTGCCCAGTCTAGTTTAAAACTCCTGGGCTCAAGTGATCCTCCTGCCTTGACTTCCCAAAGTGCTGGAATTACAGGCATGAGCCACTGCACCCAGCCCAGTCCTTTTTTTTATTGTCAACAATATTCCATTCACAGGTACAATTCTTGTTTGTGTTATTTTCTCTTTTTTGTTGTTGTTGAGATGGGGTCTTGCTTTGTTGGCCAGGCTAGTATGGAACTCCTGACCTCACACAGTCTTCCCATCTTGGCCTCTCAAAGTGCTGGGATTACAGGCGTGAGCCACCGTGCCCAGCCTGTGTTATTTTCTAAATTAACACTTTTTTGGCTGGGCGCGGTGGCTCACGCCTGTAATCCCAGCACTTTGGGAGGCCAAGGCGGGTGGGTTCCGAGGTCAGAAGATCGAGACCATCCTGGCTAACATGGTGAAACCCCGTCTCTACTAAAAATACCAAAAAAAAATTAGCCAGGCATGGTGGCGGGCGCCTGTAGTCCCAGCTACTTGGGAGACTGAGGAAGGAGAATGGTGTGAACCGGCAGGCGGAGACTACGGTGAGCCGAGATCGTGCCACTGCACTCTAGCCTGGATGACAGAGCAAGACTCCGTCTCCAAAACAAAAACAAAAAACACTTTATTCTTGATTTCTTACTTTATCCAAAAGCAATTTTGGAGATTTTTTTTATTTTTTTGAGACAGGGACTCACTCTATCAACCAGGCTGAAGTGCAGCAGTATAATCTCAGCTCACTGTGCAACCTCCCAGGCTCAAGCCATGCTCCCACCTCAGCCTCCTGAGTAGCTGGGACTACAGGTGTGCACCACCACACCCAGCTAATTTTTGTATTTTTGTTTTTATAGAGATGGAGTCTCACCACATTGCCCAGGCTGGTCTCAAACTCCTGGACTCAAGTGATCCACTCGCCTTGGCCTCCCAAAATGTTGGGATTACAGGTGTGAGCTACCGTGCCTGGTCTGGAGAATTTTTAATAGCTGATTTCTGAAGTTAATTATTTTTATTTTTTAATTGTTTTCACTGCCACAAATTTCAGTCACAAATTTCACACAGACTCTAACATTAATTTCTAATTTTAGCATATGTGAACAGGGAATGTGATCTATATGACACCTGTGTTTTCAAATTTATTGGGATTTTCTTTGTGATGGAAAATATGATAGGTGTTTTAAATTATTTTCCAGATCTTGGAAAATCATCTGAGTAACTTTAAGGCCCAAGCCAACAGTCAAGATATCTAGAGGAACTGGGGAAAAGAACAAAATGTGAACGGAAAGTAAACTTCAAAGAGGAACTGATTTTGATACTGAAGGGACAAAGAACTGACTTCTTCAGTACCTACTATCGGCCAGGCCCCATGCTAGGTACCTTGCATATATTATCTCATTCAGTGGTGAGGTAGGATTCTTCAGAGCAGGAAACGGGGGCTCAGAGAGGTTACATGTTTCCAAAATCCATTTCCCCTGCTCCACATCTTGTCCTTACTGCTTTGCTGAGCAGCCTCCCACTTTTCTTTCAAGACTCGGTTTAAACATCACCTCTTTTTTTGGTTTTTTTTTTTTTTTTTTTTTTTTGAGATGGAGTGATGGAGTCTCACTCTGTCACAGCCGGTGACAGGCTGGAGTGTAGTGGCGCGATCTCAGTTCACTGCAACCTCCACCTCCCAGGTTCAAGCGATTCTCCTGCCTCAGCCTCCTGAGTGGCTGGGATTACAGGCGCGCCACCACGCCAGGCTAATTTTTTGTATTTTTAGTAGAGACGGGGTTTCACCATGTTCGTCAGGCTGGTCTCGAGCTCCTGATCTCGTGATCTGCCCGCCTTGGCCTCCCAGAGTGCTGGGATTACAGGCGTGAGACACCGTGCCCGGCCTAAACATCACCTCTTACAGGAAGGTCTCCTTCCTACAGAGAAGAGCTGAGAGGATACACCTCTTCTGCTACTGTATAAGTCAGTGTACATCTGTCATCCTTGGTTGCCTGGGAGACCCTTGATGGTGGCCAGTACATCGTCAGGTCACAACAAATGTTTGTTGATTGAATGAAGAATAAAAGCAAAGGAAGGGGACAAAAAGAGAATTCATGTCTGAAGATTCAACATGGCAAAACCCTCACCCTACAGCATTCCTCTCCGCCCTCTGCCCAGATGGTGCTGCTGCTGCATAGCCAGGCATTCTATACCTCCATTTCTCACTTAAGAAAATATCTCCAGCCTGGGCAACAAGTGAGATCCTGTCTCTACAAAAAATAAAAAATTAGCTGGGCGTGCACCTGCAGTCCCAACTACTGAGGAGTCTGATATGGCAGGATGGCTTGAGCCCAGGAGGTCGAGACTGCAATAAGCTGTGATTGCACCACTGCACTTCAGCCTGGGAGACGGAGTGAGACCATGTCCCCCCAAAAAAGGCTAAATTCCCCTCCTGTCTTGCCCATCATCACAGCTTCACAGTCTTTCAGACTGTTTTATTAATGCCTTAAAAGAAATCATGGGAGTGATTCCTGATGTTACATGTTCATTCATTCGTGCATTCTTTTTTTTTTTTTTTTTAAATGGAGTCTCACTCTATCCTCCAGGCTGGAGTGCAGTGGTACGATCTCAGTTCACTGCAACCTCCGCCTCCTGAGTTCAAGTGATTCTCCTGCCTCAGCCTCCTGAGTGGCTGGGATTACAGACGCACGCCACCACGCCTGGCTAATTTTTGTATTTTTAGTGGAGACGGGGTTTCACCACGTTGGTCAGGCTGGTCTCGAACTCCTGACCTTGTGATCTGCCTGCCTCGGCCTCCCAAAGTGCTGGGATCACAGGTGTGAGCCACTGCACCCAGCCTTTATTCATGTATCACGTGTTCTTTTTTTTTTTTTTTTTTTTCGAGACAGAGTCTCGCTATGTTGCCCAGGCTGGAGTGCAGTAGCGTGATCTCGGCTCACTGCAAGCTCCACCTCCCGGGTACACGCCATTCTCCTGCCTCAGCCTCCCGAGTAGCTGGGACTACAGGTGCCCACCACCATGCCTGGCTAATTTTTTGTATTTTTAGTAGAGACAAGGTTTCACCATGTTAGCCAGGATGGTCTCGATCTCCGGACCTTGTGATCCACCCGCCTCGGCCTCTCAAAGTGCTGGGATCACAGGTGTGAGCCACATTCATGTATTCTTATGGGCAATAAACATTTACTGAACTCCTGTCATGAATGTGATGCCAGCTACCAGGCTGGCCCTGGACACCAAGACCCATGTGCAGTGTGGGGAGGACAACTTGGAGGGACTTTTGGGCAGCCCTGAAGTCCACCCACAGGATAAGTGCTTCCAGGCCTCTCAGGGATCTGCCTGGCCCTGCCCCCTCCTTCCCCATCCTCCTCATTCCCACCCTACACCCTCTTTATCTCCCTTCACAAAAAGCTCTATTCTCTTTTTGCACAATACACTTTCACAATAGATAGTCTATTCAACCCAGAGCCCAAATCATCAGCAACCAAAACGCTGGTTCCTCTTTCCTCCTAGGTTTCAAACATTTCCAAGGGAGGAGAAATAATTGCACTCTGCAGCATCACTTCTGTTTGCATGGCTGTTTCTCCTGAAGATTGGAAGCTCCTTGAAGGCCTGGCCTAGGTCTTCTCACCATTGACTCTGAAGTGAACCATAAGCCTAGACCTTGTTTCCTAAATATATAATTTATTGTTCAAAATTAATATAATCATTCTTACCACAGAAACAAACAATCAAACAAACAAAACGAACAACAAAGGGGTTCAAGGAAACTTTTGGAGGTGATGGATATACTAACTGTGGTGACTGTCACAGGAGTATATACATACGTCCAAACTCACAGATTGTATATATTAATTATGTGTATTTTTTTATGCCAATTATACCTTAATAATCCAGGAGAGGAAAAATGAAAAATAAATACACCTTGCTCAAGAAAGAGAAAAAATATATAATAATTATAGAAATTTGGCAAATAGGGCCAGCCGTGATAGCTCATGCCTATAATCCCAGCACTTTGGGAGGCCAAGGCAGGAGGACTGCTGGAGCCCAGGAGTTCAAGGCTGCAGTGAGCCAGGATTGTGTCACTGCACTACAGCCTGGGTGACAGAGCAATACCCTGTCTCTAAAAACGAAAGAAAGAAAAAGAAAGGAAGGAAGGAGAGAGAAAAGAAAGAAAAAGAAAGAAGGAAGGAAGGAAGAAAAAGAAACAAAAAAGAAGTTGGGCAAGTACACTAAGGGATAAAGAAGAAAATTAAATCACCTATAATTTCAAGAAACAGAAATAACTTTTTTTTTTTTTTTTTTTTTAGATAGAGTCTCACTCTGTCACCCAGGCTGGAGTGTAATGGCGTGATCTCGGCTCACCACAACCTCTGCCTCCTGGGTTCAAGTGATTCTCCTGCCTCAGCCTCCTGAGTAGCTGGGATAACAGGCATGCACCACCACACCTGGCTAATTTTTCGTATTTTTAGTAGAGATGAGGTTTCACCATGTTGGCCAGGCTGGTTTCAAACTCCTGACCTCACGTGATCTGCCCACCTTGGCATCCCAAAGTGCTGGGATTACAGGTGTAAGCCACTGAGCCCAGCCAGAAATAACTTTTTAAAAACTTGTATATTTTCTTCCAGGCATTTTACATGCATTTTTCCGGATAAGTATACATGTATATACCAAATTTTAAATATATATAATTCTGATGCATATGCAATTTTATATTTCACTCAGCATATTACAAACACTTCCCAAGTCATTATTCTTCAAAAACATGATTTTTAATAGCTTATATAGTATTACATCAGATGTTCATGCCATAACTTCTTTAAACATTTCCATCATTTTTGGATATTTAGATTATTTCCTTCTTTCTTTCCTTCTTTTTTCCTATTTTTAACTTTTGCCAATATAAATAATACTTTCATAAACATGCTTAACACATCTTTGTTCACATTGCTGATTATTTCTCTCAAGAACAGATTTCTAGAATTCGAGTTACTGAATCAAAGGGTATAAATTTTTAAGCTTCTCTTGATCTTTCATATCCAATTATTTTCCAGGCTTTGTACCAATTTGCCCTCCTGTAGCCATAAGTATCATCACTGTGGCTTTTACATTTAATTTATTTGTAACTCTTCGGTGAAGCTGGCAGTTGTAATGACCCATGTTTCTTTTGGCATATTTCTATTCTTAAATTTATGTGTATAGGATTAATTAACTAATTGGTTCAAGCCATGATGGGAATAAAGCCATGTAACTGTGCACCCTCAATCACAAGGGGAGCTCAGAGGAGGTGGATTATTTCATGCACCCTTTCATTACTCCTGGACTAATAATTTGTAAGTCACATGTTCATCCCATCTATCCACACAAACTTATGCTTTCTTTGGGTTTTCCCCAAAAACCCTGAGTATTCCTAAATTGTTACTATACTTCTGAGGATTTTTTTTATTGTTTATTTTTTAATTTTAATTTTAATTTAATATTTTTTTTTAAGAAGATCTTGCTTTGTCACCCAGGCTGCAGTGCGGTGGCGCGATCTCGGCTCACTTCAACCTCTGTTTCCCAGGCTCAAGCATTTCTCCTGCCTCAGCCTCCCGAGTAGCTGGGACTACAGGCGCATGCCACCACACCCAGCTAATTTTTGTATCTTTAGTAGGGACAGGGTTTCACCATGTTGGCCAGGCTGGTCTTGAACTCCTGACCTGAAGTGATCCGCCCACCTCACCCTCCCAAAGTGCTGGGATTACAGGCGTGAACCACTGCACCCGGTCCTTCTGAGGATTTTGAATTGCTGCCCAGTGCATATTCTGTGGGCACTTAGAGCTTAGCTCTCAGTGACTCTCTACCAGTTCCCAACCCCCATGCCATTTCCGCTAAGACCAGCCTTTTAGGAGCCCTAGGTCCACCTCTGCTTTCTGCAGCGCCTGTCTAGTTGAACCTTGGGGTCCTCGCCTTTCATTGGCTGGATTCCTGTTGGGAGTCTTGATATTAAAAGTTGAATATTAGATATTGCAAAGCCAATAATATCTTTTAAAATGTTTGTTTGGTTCTGGCAATGAAAGAAGCAGATATTAATAATCACCTGCTAATCTCCCAGCAAATTACTCTAGTGAACATGTCAACTGAAACGTCGAAGAGCTGTGTTTCATCCCTTTTCTCAGCTTACAAGATTCCTGGGATTCTCAGAGATGGCTAGAACATCCTGGAAGGGTCTGCAGCAGGAATGTATCCTCTATCAGGGAAATCAGGATTAATAAACCTTATAATTATAAACCTACCTTTGAATTTCAGCTCTAGGGAGGCAGCTTTGGGGCTTCTGAAATGCCCAGGGGAGACCTCCATTTACTGCTTTTGTATCAAAAAAGCTGATTTCTTTCTTTCTGGTGTGAATCTGGAGGATTCCTTGCTGGGTTTGGGCAAGTCAGGAGATTTGGCTAAATAGTGATGTCTGCAAGCTTAGGGCCTCACTGGGACCTTCTAACGTTCACATAGGCTTTGAAATTTACAAAATACAGTATCATACATTACACATCATATATTATCGGCTTCCACTTCTCCCAACAACCCTAGAAGGTGGGCATTATTTAAGTTAAAAAGGTGTCACAAAAGGAAGTGGGTCACCTGTCCAGACAGGTTCTCACAGGGAGGTAATCTGTAAGAGAGGAAATTGGTATGGAAAGTGGAGGAGACTCTAAAGAGGGGAAAACATGTTGAAAGAGAATTCCCAAAGGGAAACCCTGTCTACACATTCTGGCTCAGACACTCCATGGTAGTGACCTTAGGAAGTTTTTAAGCTTTTCGGTGCCTCAGCCTCCTCCTCTGTAAAATGATAATGACACCTACCTCAAATAAAGTGCTTAGCCCAGCCTCGCACTAAGGTGGCTGTACAGGTATGTTTATCAAAGCAGGTTCATAAAAGCGAAAAACCTGCAAACATCCCATGAGTCTAACAATTTGTTTAAACAAATTAAGATACACACATACCATGGAATAATATCATTCACTAAGAATGACAATGTGGGCTGGGTGAGGTGGCTTATGCCAGTAATCCCCACACTTTGAGAGGCTGAGGCAGGAGGATTGCTTGAACCTAGGAGTTCGAGACCAGCCTGGGCAACATAGCAAGACCCAGTCTGTACCAAAAAACAAAAAGAAAAAATACAGCCGAGCATGGTGGCACACAAATGTAACCCTAGTTACTCGGGAGGTTGAGGTGGGAGGATGGCTTGAGCCCAGAAGTTCGAGGCTGCAGTGAGCTATGATCATGCCACTGTAATCCAACCTGGCTGACAGAGCAAGACCCTGTATCCAAAGAAGAATGTGGATGTTTACAGACCAGAAGATAATTTGTGACATATACCGGGTGAAAGTAGCTGCAATTCAGTAGGTGTAGTGTTATGCCATTTTTGTTAATTTTGTAAAAATAACATGCTTATACATAGAGTCATCATTTGCTTAATGATATTGACTTTGTACAGTTTTATTATGGTGTGCACTTACATGTAGCCACTAGGATATAAAATGTCCAAGGATATACACCGAAATATGTCTCTAGATAGGGTTCGTTTTCGAATTCTTTCACAATGAACTTGTGTTGTAAAGAAATAACAGAGGGCTGGGCGCAGTGGCTCATGCCTGTAATCCTAGCACTTTGGGAGGCCGAGGCAGGCAGATCCCCTGAGGTCAGGAGTTTGAGACCAGCCTGGTCAACAGGGCAAAACCCTGTCTCTACTAAAAATAAAAAAAAAATTAGCTGGGTGTGGTGGCACATACCTGTAATCCCAGCTACTCGAGAGGCTGAGGCAAGAGAATCGCTTGAACCCAGGAGGCGGAGGTTGCAGTGAGCCAAGATCGTGCCACTGCACTCCAGCATGGGTGACAGAGCGAGACTCCCACTCACGAAAGAAATAATAGAAGTGTAAAATGTTTACAAAGCAGGAACTGGAGCTGTGGTATCTGCCTGGATCCTTGAGGGCATTTGGCTGGTGCCAAGTTCATGTGCAGGTCACTTGGAGAACCAATAATCCAACCAAAGGACTAAGAGGTTTTGGGAGCTTTAAATCACGTTGTGGAGAAGTCAATAATCACCCCCTATCCCTCCCCTGCTCCTCCAGTGCAAACTTCTGTGATTACGTCTCTCTCCTGAGCAAACATAGCCAGGTGCCTGCTCCCAGGGGCCTTCCTGGATTTCATGAGGCCCATCCTCTCCTGATTCCTATTTGTTCCTCAGGCAGGCTACAACTCTGCTGATCAGGCTGGGCCTTGATAACCAGTCATCAAGCTCTGGTCATGTTCCTGAGAAGCCACCTGGCCATCTTGATCGGATGTGGTGTTCACCAATCCCAGCCTCCCAGTGGGACACTGGTCATCTTTGAAGGAATGCTTCCCCCTCAGTCAGCTCATCATGTTTCTGGTGTGGTGAGTCACTCTGGTTTCAACCCTGAACGTAATCTTATTTCCAGGTCATCGGGGCACTACCCAGTCACTCCCTGATTTGTAGTAATAGTAAATAAAAGCTACCGGGGATTGGTGCTTATGTACCGGACACCATGCTAGGTGTGGGGTTTGAGCCTCACAACAAACTGTGAAGCAGGTATTTTTATCCCTATTTTACAGAAAAGTTAGAGAGGTTGACTTGCCCAGGAATATGCAGCAGGTAAGCCTGGGCCCTTAAACTAAGACACTGTCTCTGCAATCCACAGGTCTTCTTACCTGCATTTTATATGTCCCGAAATTAAGTCGAAGTTATTCACTGAAGTTATGTTATTCATTTACATTCATGAAGTTAGCAAGTGGGAGGGGCTAAAATCTGAATATTTCCCTGACACCCTCCCCTTTTTCCCACTTGTGCTCTATCCTCACTCTCCCCCCACCCACTTGTATTCTAAGCTGCAGTAAACACTTCAACTCTTGACAGTTCTAAGAACCTGTAATAATGTGCCGTCTTGCCCTGGGGCCTTTGGACAGACTGTTCTCTCCCATGCATTTGGCTAGCACAGCCTAATCTAGACACGACCTCCTCCAGGAAGCCACACCTGACCACCTTAGTCCAAGCACCCTCTTAGGAGCTTTCTTGGTTCACTCTTGCCTGTATCGCATGGCACTGAGGTTGCTGTCTTCTTTTCTTGCTCCTTCGCCTGCAAAGCCAAAGGCCAAAGCAAGGACTGCGTCTTGCTGATGATTCGGTCCTCAGCAGCCAGCACCTTCGCCGGCACGGGGTAGGTACTCAGTAGGCATTTGTTAAGTGCATGCTTGGCTCTAAGAGCTGCATTCTGCTTTTTTGGAGGATGCAGCTTGGGTGTACTAAGTGGGAGGCTGCAAGTGATGACGGAAATGTGGTTTCCTGCAGACCTGGGCAAAGGCCCTGGGGTCATTGGGGGCTCAGGGTGCTGATGTTAAAAGACCATGGTGTCCTTCTTGTTGAACCAAACTCTCAGGCTACTGTTTCCTCACTCCTCGTCAGAGACAAATGTGTTCTGAGTGACTGGAGTCATAGCTCAGAGCACCAGGAGCTGGTTTAGGGTGGGGCGAGGGGCCGTGGCCTTGGGGCTCTCGTTTCTAAAGGCCCAGGGCTCAGGGCTGGGGGGAGGGGTGAGGAGTGGCAGGTCGTGTCCCCGGGAGGCTGCAGTCACTGGGGGAGAGACAATGGGGCTCAGCATCTGCTCCTCCCTGGGAGAAGGGACCCTTCAGTGAAAAGCCAGGGAGAGCAGGGAAGTGTGGGAGGAATTGATGAGGAGAAGGGGTGGAGCCAAGGAGATGCAGCCGGGAGGAAGGAAGGGAAGGGAAGGAAGGGAAGAGGGAGGGGAGAGGATCCAGGCTTTCCTTCCTCCCGGTGACCTGGTCCTGAGCCGCAGCTTCCCTTGCATTGTTCCCTGAGTTTGCTCTCGGGGCCCACCGAGACCTCACGTTTCTCCCCCTGGCTGCAGCCCCAGTCCGAGGGCCCGGCATCCAGCAGGTGCTCAATACTTACTTGGGAAAATGACAAATGTGACCAACTTTGCTTTGGGAACTTTCCCCCGTCTTCTCCCCACTCCTCCGGAGAACCCGAGGACAGAGCAGGTCTTGGGAGCACGCCCGGGCGCCCCATGAATAATTGACCCTTCCTGGCGGCACTGCCCGGCTCTGTCCGAGGGCTCCGGACCCGCCCTGCGTTGCAGTCGAGAAACGGCTCGGAGTGGCGGGTGTTCTGGAGGTTGGAGGCCTGGTGTCCGGCCTGCGCCGGAGCTGGAGGGCGGCGAGGCTGTGCCAAACCCCGCGGCCCCTCAGGGAGCCGAGAGGGACCTGACGGCCGCGCTGCCAGCGACCACGCCTCGGCGCCCCCCAGCAGTGCGCCCCGGGGCCGAGGCCCAGGCCCTGGGCTCGGGGACCCCGCCAGCCCGCCGATCCCAGCAGCTGCCCTGAGCCCCTTCTCCACCCGGGCCCTGGCGCTCGGAGCCCGCGCCGCTCCCTCGAGTCAGGCCGTCCAGGGCTCTGCTAACAGCTGTTTAAAGGCTTTTGCTGTTCAGTGCTCTGCGGGGATGTTTGTTCCAGGCCCATCTGCCTACTTTAAAAATACATAAGTGAAGCACACACACCCAGCTTGCCACCTCTGGCTGGGGAGGGGCGGGCTCGGCGGCCCTCGCTCGCACTTGGGAAGGAACCGGCACCCAGGAGCCGCACCCGTGCCCCAACACCCGCACCGGCTCTCCTCTCCAGAGGACGCCCCTGGCTTCCCTTGGGGGGGGCGGGGCGCAGGGCCCCCGGGCCCCCTTTGTACCGGACAGGGCCGGGCCCCCCATTTCCAAGCGAGGTCTGCCTCTTCCCCGCTTCAGTTAATCTTTGTTCCCCTTTTCTGCTGAGAGGAGAAAAAAAAAAGAGAGAGAGAGAAAGAAAGAAAAGAAGGAAAAAAGGCGTGACTTGATTTTCAAACGAAACTCCCACAGCAAACAAAACCCTTTTAGAGAAATAAGAAAGGAGGAAGAAGGAAGAAAAGAGGGAAGAAAAAAACAGGAGAAAGAAAACCCTTCAGGCTTTCAATTCGAGTGGGAGAGTTGAACCGAAAGAAAGAGAAAGAAAGGAAGAAAAATCCTCTGCGGTAGAAAGAGAAAAGAAAACTTGGGCTGACAAGAGGGAGGTGTTGGGGGTGGAAGGAAGTGAGAAAACAAAAGAGAGATAAAAGGGCTGCTTTTCTGTCTCTCTCTTCCTCTGCGAGCTGGCTTAGGAGGAGCTGTTTTGCATCCCTTCACGTCAGCCCTGCCTCATTCCCTTCTTCCAGGGAGGGAGAGAGCGCGAGCGAGAGAGCGAGCGAGAGGAGGGGGGAGAGAGAGAAAGAGAGGAGCCGGAGGGAGGGCGGCAGGAGCAGGCGGCGGGCGCGCGTGGAGGCGGGCGGCGGGCGCACAGCAGCAGCCCGGGCGGTGGGCAGCCAGGAGCCCCCGGCCCGGCCCGGCCCGGCCCGCCGAGGGCCCCAGCGCAGGAGCCGCGCCCGGACCCAGGGTGAGTGTCCCGCGCGGCCCCCCGCCCCAGCCCCAGCCCCAGCCCCGCAGCCCCGCGCTGCCGGCCGGCGGGGGCGCGGGGGGCGCGGGGGTGGGTCGCTGCGGCCGCGGCCGACCCGCCCCCCGCCTCTCCCTGGGGACGGCCGCGCGCAGGCCCGCGCCGCGCTGCAAACATGTCGTCTTTTCCTTTCACTTCCACATTCCCTCATGCCGGAGAGCTGGAGGGAGAGAGGGAGAGCCGGGGAAAGAGGGAGAGATGGCGTCTGGGGTGGGGGGGAGGGAGAGGAGGGGGAGGGGGAAGGGAGAGGGAGGGAGCGAGCGAAAGAGGGCGAGAGGGAGGAGAGCGCGCGAATGAGAGAGAGAGAGAGAGAGAGAGAGAGAGAGGCAAAAATGAAAGGAAAGCGTCGCGGCGGCGGCGGCGGCGGCGCGGGAGGCCCGGGAGGCGACGGTGGCGGAGGCTCTCGGGCCCGCACGTGGGTGTCCCGGTGCTGGGTGCGCTCCCCCCACACCCGGCCCGGGACTCAAAGTTTCACCCCCTCGCCGCCCCGCCCCTACGGCTGCCCACAAACTTTATTCTCGGAGCGGGTGGGGTTGTTGCGCGTCCCAGCCGGCCGGGGGTGGGGGAGAGCTGAGCGCGCCGCTGGCGGGGCTGGGGGCGTCCCCGAGGGCCACTGGCCGCCGCACGCTGGGCGCCGCGGGATCTCCGCCGGGACAGCGTCGGGGCGCCGCGGGCCGGGGACCCAGGACCGGCGCTCGCTGTCTGGGGGCGTGGGGGTGGGGGTGGCGGGCGGGGTCCCTACGGCCCGTCTTGAGCCTCCCGCGGCTCAGCCCCCCTTCCTCCTCGTCGCCCTCTCTCCGTCTTCTCGCGGTCATTTTCCTAATTGGATGGAGCTGTGGGGCGTGAGCACCAGCGTCAGATCGGGGCCCTCAGGCTACCAGGTGGGCGCGCGGGCTCGGGGACCGACGGGGCAGCCCCAGCCTCCCCACCCTAGGCGCACAGATCCCGCAGATCCGGCCCTTGGGCCACCGCCCCCTTCACCGCGGACTTGCTAACTAGTGCGTATCGGGTTTTTTTCCAACTTGCCTTTTAAGATGACTTTTATGGGCGCTGCAACTGCTTCCCTCCAGTCTAAGCTGTAGTTTGGAAAGATTTAAGAGGCCAGGGAGGTGCTTGTGTGGATTTTAACCAACCTGAAAGGGTCATTCATGTATCTCTAGGATTTGCGAGACGGTTAGGGCAAGGCGTAGCAGTATCCGGGGTGCCTTTTCTTTTTTCTTGATATGGAGTCTTGCTCTGTCGCCCAGGCTGGAGTGCAGTGGCGCGATCTCGGCTCACTGCAGCCTCCGTCTCCCGGGTTCAAGCGATTCTCCTGCCTCAACCTCCCCAATAGCTGGGACTACAGGCGCACGCCACCACGCCCGTTTAATTTTTAATTATTTTTAGGAGAGACGGGGTTTCACCATATTGGCCAGGCTGGTCTCAAACTCCTGACCTCGTGATCCGCCCGCCCCGGCCTCCCAAAGTGCTGGGATCACAAGGACTCTTCGAGGTACTCGTCCTACTGGGTCTGAGGGAGGCCTGCCGGGCAATCCAGTGAGGGACCAACGTCATGGCCCACCCTTGAGCTGCAGGCCGAGTGCCCACCTGCAAAGGGCACCCTGAGCACCTTTCTTGCTGTGCAAAATGGAAACTCCCGGCCGGTATCGACCTGCAGTGTACATAACTAGTCCCTGTGGGCATCTGGGAAATTCACAAAACTCCCCCACAGGTGTGCGGAGAAGGACTTTGTGCTCTTGGGGGTCACTCAGCCAGCTTTGAAGCTGCCCTCTCAGTCCTGCATTTGTACACGTGTAAGTAAAACCAGTCAAAGTTCATTTCTGCCAAGTAGAGGGCTGGGGGTCTGTGTCCCTATTGCATCTTCACCAGGGGGCCTAGAGAACCAATGGGGCCACGTGGGAGAAGGGAAGAAGAAAACCGTTCTTAACTCGTTAGATAAGAGACAGTGTATTCCTAATGTGATCAAAGCCGATGGGGCTATCTGGTTTTGACTTCTGAAAACCTAGAGTGGCCATTCCTTTCTCATTTGTTTTAAAGAGAATGTTATTTTCTATACTTTCTCATTGGTTTTATTAGCTGACCCTCAGGCCAGGGTAACTGTGCTGGGTACCTGCCAGTCTCGGAGCAGAACCTCTGATCGGTCATCTGTAGCTCCAGAGAGGTGCCCACCTGGTGCCCCAGTGACCTTCTGGAGCTGGCTTTCCTGCATGAGGGCCGTGGGGATAGAGCTGCTTTCTTTTGGGTAGGGGGAATTGGATGTTTGGGTCACATTTTCTTCCTCCAGCCTGGCCTGGTTGCCTGTGTCTTGGTGGAGGGGGCTGCAGTGAGTTGAAGTGGGACGCGGGCTCACTTGCTTGTCTTCTCAGAGCTGATACCTGGGTGAGTCCTCAGCCCACGGTGTGTGGTCAGCGGGCCATTTTTCCAGGGCTTGGGTCATTTCCATTCCAACCAGGCATTTCCTACCAGGGAGACTTATTTTAGGCTCACTGTCTAGAGACAAGGAGACAGACAAGGTCTGGAATGGTTTTTGAGTTGGAGGAAGGGAGACTAATGGGACCACCAGAGATTTTGCACTTCTATTTTAGGTTTGCCTTGTGGCCCAGAGATATTTCTAGCAGAGTTGTGTTTGGAAAGAAGCACAACTTCTTTCTAGAAGGGAGTAAATAAATAAATAAAGGAGGAGTCCAGCGCATCTTGGAGGAGACAAGTGAAGTCAGCTCCCTGGCCCCACCAGTGCTGATGCTTGGCGCAGGCTCATAATCTGGCTTGCTGACCCCTCCCATACCCTCGTTCCTCAGGCCTAGCCAGGGCCTAGCCCGCGGCAGGACTCATTATGTTGAAATAAGGAATCTGTGAATGTGCTGGGCCTGCTGTTAATGGTGCTTGCTCCCAGCCCTTTGACTTCAAAGCTGGAAGAAGGCCTTAGAGATTGTCTGAAAGCAACTGAGGCAGGAAGAAAGCTCTGTACCCAGGATTACACAGTAAGTGGCAGAGCCAGCACTCAACCTGAGCTTTCAGAGCCTGTTCCCAGTGCTGTTTCTACAAGGCCACTGTCTCTGCTACTGCTGGGGATCCCGAATCAAGCTCACTTCAAAGAATGTAGCTATGAGAGCATGAAACCGTGCGCTCACGCCGCACACGAGTTGGGTAAATGGAGCGCCTCATTTTCCAGATGTGTTACAGAAACTGTGCTGGAGGATGTGACTGGCCAGTGAGACAACTAGGGGGAACTGGGTGATTCAGGCTGTTTCAACACTGACTTCTTCAAAGTCCAACAATCAGAGAAGCAGTTTAGTCATCGGGATTTTCTCACATCACACCATTTTTTGATCTGGAATGCTTTCTTCATACTTTGACTTGTATGTGATTTATTTAGGATTGGTCAGGAGAGAAGAGAAGGAGTGTAAGGACCCAAGACCTGAACTGATTTCCATCTGTGGGTTAAATGTACTAGAACGTTTGTGAGGGTAGACGTCTTTGCTTTGTTCATTGCGGAGCCCCTGTGCCTAGAATAGGGTCTGATCTATAGTGGGCCCTCAGTAGATACTTGCTGAATGAATGTACTGGACATTAGGGAAGATTTGCCTGCCAGAAGGAACCCATGAATGACACAGGCAGGGACAGGGAGGTGATTGATGGGAGCTGCAGAGTTGTGCTGTGAGTCATTGCTTCAAACAAGCTCCAGACAGGTGAGGCAGGAGGGGGCTGGGAAGAGAGGATCCTGAATGGGGTGGAGCCCCTGGGTGGAGACTTGTGCAAAACAATAGGTTTTTTTAGATTTTTTTTTTCTTTTTTTGAGACGGAGTCTCACTCTTTCACCAGGCTGGAGTGCAGTGGCGCGATCTCAGCTCACTGCAACCTTCGCCTCCTGGCTTCAAGCGATTCTCCTGCCTCAGCCTCCTGAGTAGCTGGGACTACAGGCATGCGCCACTACACCCAGCCTAATTTTTATATTTTTAGTAGAGACGGGGTTTCACCAGGTTGGCCAGGATGGTCTCGATCTCTTCACCTCGTGATCTGCCCGCCTCGGCCTCCCAAAGTGCTGGGATTACAGGCGTGAGCCACTGCACCCGGCCTAAAACAATAGGTTTTGAATTGGACTCAGAATATAGGGAGAATAATAATAATCATGTGTCTTAGGCCAGAATTATGCTACGTGCTTTGTGTATTTGTCTCTCTTAGTTCTTGCAGGTGCTGGCTCTTGCATTCTTATCCTCATTTGGCAGAGGAGTTAAATAACTTGTCCAAGGGCACAGAGCTGGTATCTAAACCCAGGCTGTCTAACTTCAAACTTTGCCTCTCAGGAACGATGATGTGGTCATATGTCTCTGCCCATGCCAAAGAGTTGGGCGTTCAGCACTTTGGGGTTCCTTGGAAGGACAGCAGCAGAAAAACTAAAGAAGAAATTGTGGGTCTGCAGCAGAGGGAGGCTGGTCAGGGAGTGTGCCTGAAGAGGGTTCACCCAGTGAGGCCTATAAGGGAATGCTTATTTTAGGGGCCTAACTGTTCCTCAAGCAGAGTGGCTGTTGTGAGATTAGGGCTATTTTGCACTTGATAAAGATGTAGGAGATCTTTTTATGGGCAAAGATTGCTTTTCAGGTTAAAGTTTAGTTGGCATATATTTGAAACTAGTGGGAATTTTAAAACTAAGAAATGTCCTTTTTGGCCTTGATACCACCAGAGGCTGTTTGCCACATGTGTAAACATTACCTGCCTGCTCCAGGATGCTGGCCCAGCCTGTTCCAGACCACAGCAGCTCCTCATTCATTGGCAGTCTGTGATGTGCTAGACACTGTGCAGGTCCCGTCCTCGTGAAGCTTGCAGTCTCCCTGGGAGGCAGGCATTAAACTAATAATTACACAAATACTCTTTAATTACAGTGGTTATAAATGCTTCAAAGGAAAAAGTACAGAGGCATAGAAGCCAGTAATCATGGAGAGGGGGAGGGGAGGCTTTCCTGAAGAAAGGACATTTAAATAGCCACCTGCAGTGTGGATGAAGAGGCTTTAACCAGGGTGGTACAGTTCATTAACCTTGATGTGAACCTTGCCACTCCATATGTGGTCCATGGACCAGCATCAGCGTTACCTGGTAGTGAGTTAGAGATGCAGAGCCCTGGGCTCCTCAGCAAACCTACTGGATCTGCATTTTAATTCACATGCATGGTAATGTCTGTAAAGCACTGATGGACTCAAAAGTACTGAAATGACAGGTTCTCAGCTTTGCTGGGAGCTCATTGGGTGACGCTGGGAAAGTCACCCTGGGGTGACTTCTCTGATGTTTGGCTTTTTCCAGTTTGTGCTGTCTACCTGCTTGTTGAGGGTGACCCACCCCTGTGTTGCTGTTGATGGAGACCCTGCAGACTCTAGTCCATGCTCTGGTCTGACTTCTGTAAGCACTGAAGATGGGCTGAACCATCAGAGCTTTTGATAAGGATCAGAATAATTCCCTAAAAGTGTGTGGAGCTGCACACAGAGATTGTCTTAAGGTGACCCTGGGAGGATTTGGCCTGAAGCAAGAGAAAAACTGGCAAGGGTCAAAAGGGCTTTGGGGAGGAAAGGTGTAACGTTTCTGCCAAAAGCGGAACCTAAAACGGGGAGAGAGAGGCACCTGCTCAATAGTTCCATGCATGGGAACATAATACTTTTAAGAATTGCCTCAGAGTTTTATCCCTGAGACCTTCACATCACTGTAGAGAAGACCAGACGGTTGAAATCAGGGGTCCTGGACTCTTGCAGTGTGTGGGTGGGCTTCAAGGGTCAGGGGTACTTGAAACTGTGCAGAAGGTTACATGTGTGCACTTTTCTGGGAAGAGGAGCCGTAGCTTTCACTGGCCTCAAGGGAGATTGCGGCTCTAAGAATTTGTCAAATGTCTTACTGGACTAACCTCACCCAACTCTCTTGTTATACAGCACATGCGATATGCCAGGCATAATTGTAAACACTTTATACATACTGTTAGCTCATTTAGGTTGAATACCTTTCTGGAGGTCACAGATCTAGTAAGCCTCAGAGCCAGGATTAGAACCCAGGCACTGGGGTCCCAGAGTCGCTGGTTGCAAAGCCTACCCTAGTAACAGGGCAAGCAGGACTAGGGGCGAGCTCTTTTTTGGTAGCACAGATGAAGAGGCTCACCCCCACCCCCACTTTACAAGTAAGCATCTCCCCAGTTGTTCATGTAAAACATAGAAAGCATTTTCCCAAGGAAGCACCTTGTGAATAGCTCCAGGTTGCCAGGCTAGCCCATGAAAGCCTGTATCACTGTTGGGCCCAACTCATGCTTGTTTGCAAAGAAAGTAATTAGAAAACAAAACTGCTGCCGCACCAAAGGCTAAATTAAAAATTCTAGAATTGGAAAGAAGGCACTTGAAGAATTGCACCCTTAAATCAGGGAGGTAAGGTGGCAACAGGAAATTGGGGTAGATTCTGAAAGGGAGGGATTAAAGGATGTTACAGCCAAAGCACAGCCAAATATATGTTGAATCAGCAGCTTCAAAAGGTAAAACAACTGTTTTTTATTACCTACTAATTAATGTGTATGGCTCACAGACCTGACCCTTCCCCCATCCCTAGTGCCTACCCCAAGTACAGAGGCCTTTTGTCTTTTCTCTCATTCATTTTGTGTTGTTTGAATTTTTATCCAGTATGTATTATCTTTATTATATACATGTAGTATATATATATGTATAGTACATATGTGTATATATATGTATATGTGTATATATGTATATAGTATACGTGTGTGTGTGTGTGTGTATATATATATATACATATATATATATGTATATATATATACATGAAGTAAAAGAACTATTAGAAGTGGGTTGGAGGCCGGGCACAGTGGCTCATGCCTGTAATCACAGGACTTTGGGAGGCCCAGGCAGGAGGATTGCTTGAGCCCAGGAGTTTGAGAACAGCCTGGGCAACATAGTGAGACCCTGTCTCTACAAAAAAGTTTTATAAATCAGTCGGTGGCACGTGTAGCTGTAGTCCCAGCTACTTAAGAGACTGAGGTGGGAGGATCGCTTGAGCCCAGGAGGTTGAGGCTGCAGTGAGCTATGATGGCCTCAGTGTACTCCAGCCTGAAAACCCTGTCTCAAAAAAAAAAAGAAAAGAAGTGGGTTGGTCTCTTTCGCAATCACCATTGTAAAGGATTTTCTGATATTAAATACATATGCTCTATTGTGTGTTTATTTCTGGGAGAACTAAGAAAACTGTTGGAAATGTGAGGATTTTTAGTGTAGTCGGAAGCTGAGAATAAGTGATCATATTGCGACCCAACTATTTTCCCTTTCTTCTTTCCCTGCCCCCAGCATGTTATATATATGGAATCGAAATGAAGTTAGAATGGTCACTACAGAAAGCAGGAATGTCCACCCTCCGCATTTAAATGGGAAACTATAACTTTTGTGATAACTCTTGGTTATGTGTGTTTTTGTCTTCTGGATGGTACCTGAAATGCCATCCCGGACCCCATCCCGTTCTCGGTGGGACTGCAAGGATATGGGCTTCCAGACTGGGAAGACTGTCCTGCATGTGTTTGGTAAAAGACAACGGCTAAAACCTGGGGCACATCAGAATGTCCTCGCAAGGACCAAGTCCAAGCTGGCCCCTTGAGAAGCATCAGGTACCCTTTGGAAGCTGGTAGTGCTGGTCAGTTTAATCTCACTCTGTGATGTCCGATCCTCGGGCCCTGGGCTCACAAGCCATCGCTTCCCATCGTGGCTCCATTCTGTAGCTGCAAATCACAAGACTGTAGACTTGCCATTACCCAGAAGCAGGTCACCTCTGAAATTCAGAACTCTTCCTGTCCTCCCACTACACAGCACTCCTTGAAGCAGCCCTGCCCACCCCTGCCCCAACCTGGGAAATCTGTGCCCACTTCCCTGGTCCATTCCCCATGTGCCCACCATCAGCCCCACTGCTTGTTCCTCTGTGTCCTGCCCTGGCTTCCTCCCTAGGTCTGGGCACCCCACATCCTCCTATGCCTTAATTCTCTACCTACAGCTACAGTCACACCTCTCTCTCCCTCCCCAACCCCAACCTGTGTCACTTCTCTTTACCCTAGGATTTCACAAAGAAGAGTCCACTCTGTCCCCACTTCCTCTCTCCCCCTCTTCTCCTTGCCAGCTCAACAACAGTGGAGCGTTTCAGCCCAGCCCACTCTCACTCCAGCTGGCTCTCCTAGAGGTCCCTGGCCACCTACTCATGCCCAGTGGCCCATCTTGTGTGACTTCCTCTTACCTGACTGCCCGGTGGCCCATCTTGTGACTTCCTCTTACCTGACTTCTCCATAGCAGTTATTGTCATGAATAGTCTTCTCCACCTTGGGTCTGGCTCATCACTCTGGGTCCTTTTCCTACCTCTCTCATCTGTTTTTTTGTACCATTCTTTCCTGTTGCTATGCTTTGGTGCCTTGGCCACAGTTCATTGCTACTTGCTTACCTACCATGACTGTGGTTTCAGCCTGTATAGGACTCTTGGCCTATGATCCCTGTCCTCATGTCTCCTGTAGACAGCCTAGGGCTGGATTTCCTTTTGTTTTTAATCTAGTCTGATATCTGTGCTCTTTAACCAGAGAGTTCAAGCCATTTGCATTTGTTATGGTTTTGGAAATAGATGGATTTCTTTTTTTTGAGACAGGGTCTCACTCTGTCACCTCGGCTGGAGTGCAGTGGCAGATCTCAGCTCACTGCAACCTCCGCCTCCTAGGCTCAAGTGATCCTCCCACCTCCGCCTCCCAAGTAGCTGGGACCACAGGCATGCACCACCACAGCTGGCTAATTTTTATTTTTTTTATTTTTTGTAGAGATGGGGTTTTTCCATGTTGCCCAGGCTGGTCTTGAACCCTGAGCTCAGGCTATCCACTTGCCTCAGCCTCCCATAGCGCTGGGATTACAGTGTGAGCCACCGCACCTGGCCAAAACAGGATGCAGATTTCTTTCTACCATCGTATTTGGTGTTTTCTATGTGTTCTTTTTCTGATTCTTCTGTTCATTCTTTTGAATTGATTGAAAGATTTTTTTCTTTCCTTCAGTCCGTTTTTTCTCTACTGCTTTGAAACTCATATACTCTTTTTAAAAATTTTTTATTTTTAGAGAAAGGATCTTGCTGTGTCACCCAGGTGGGAGTGTAGTGGCAGGATCATAGCTTACTGTAACCTTGATTTACTGGGCTCAAGTAATTCTCTCTCCTCAGCCTCTTGAGTAGTTGGCCTTGAATTTGAACTTCTGTTTTTTATTGTTGTTGGTTTTTTGTTTTTTTTTTTTTTTTTTTTGAGACGGAGTCTCACTCTGTTGCTCAGGCTGGAGTGCAATGGTGCAATCTCGGCTCACTGCACCCTCTGCCTCCTGGGTTCAAGTAATTCTCCTGCCTCAGCCTCCCAAATAGCTGGGATTACAGGCATGTGCCACCATGCCTGGCTAATCTTTGTATTTTAGTAGAGATGGGGTTTCACCATGTTGCCCAGGCTGGTCTTGAACTCCTGACCTCACGTGATCCACCCATCTCGGCCTCCCAAAGTGCTGGGATTACAGGCGTGAGCCACTGCGCCCGGCCTAGCCTCCTGAGTAGTTGGGACTACAGGCATGGAACCACCACTCCTGGCTGGTTTTATTTTTTAGAGGCAGTTCTGGCTATGTTGCCCAGGCTGGTCTCGAACTCCTGGCCTCAACCCATGCTCCTGCCACGGCCTCCCAGAGTGTTGGGATTACAGGTGTGAGCCACCGTGCCTGGCCTGAAAGGCAGACTGTGTAATGTTCAGTTGGTGTCTATATATTTTTTTCAAACAATGTAAAGACCTTAGAATGCTTTATATAAAGTCACCACTGTCCCTCCCCACATTCCATTGTCATACAATGGTTTATGTTTCTGTCTTTAATCCCACAAATTGGACTCTAATTATAATGTTATATACACTTAATCCTTTGTTTTTATTTTCCACATATTTACCTTTTACTCACATTTTCCCTTTCATCTCAGGTCTTCTTTCTGGGATCAGAACATCATGTGGCAAAGGTCTTTTAGTCATAAGCTTTCAGTGTCCGTTTGGCTGAAATCTTATTTCATCCTTATTCTTTTTTTTCTTCTTCTTCTTTTTTTTAGCCTAGAATATATATAATAATGGCTTCATCCTTACTCTTAAAAGATAGTTTTGCTGGGTATAAAACATTAGCCTGACCATTATTTTCTCAGTATTTACAAGCGTCATTCCACTGTCTTCAGGCTTTCATTGTTGATATTAAGAAGCTGGGGGCTGGGCGTGGTGGCTCACGCCCGTAACCCCAGCACTTTGGGAGGCTGAGGCAGGTGGATCATGAGGTCAAGAGATTGCGACAATCCTGGCCAACATGGTGAAACCCTGTTTCTACTAAAAATACAAAAATGAGCTAAGTGTGGTGGCGTGTGCCTGTAGTCCCAGCTACTCGGGAGGCTGAGGCATGAGAATCGCTTGAACCCGGGAGGTAGAGGTTGCAGTGAGCTGAGATGGCGCTACTGCATTCCAGCCTGGCAACAGAGGGAGACTCCATCTCAAAAGAAAAAAAAAAAGAAAAAGAAGTTGGTAGCCCAAGTATTGTTCCCTTAGATAAATTCTTCTCTGTGGTTGTTTTGAGTGTGCATTTTTTTTTTTTTTTTTTTTTTTTTGTAGTCTTGCTCTGTCTCCCAGGCTGGAGTGCAGTGGCACAATCTTGGCTCACTGCAAGCTCCGCCCCCCGGGTTCACACCATTCCCCTGGACTACAGGCAACCGCCACCACACCTGGCTGATTTTTTGTATTTTTAGTAGAGACGGGGTTTCACCGTGTTAGCCAGGATAGTCTCGATCCCCTGACCTTGTGATCCACCCGCCTCGGCCTCCCAAAGTGCTGGGATTACAGGCGTGAGCCTCCATGCCTGGCCAACTTTTTCATTTTTAATCTTTTTTTATTCCGGGTGTTTTCAGGGTAATTTTTTTTTCCATGAACAGAGCAATGAAGGGGTAATTTCTTGTTTTCTAGGTCACTAATTCTCTCTTTAGTTATCTCTAATCCCTGTTTAGCCCTTCACTGAGGTATTTTTAATATCAATATTAACTCATAGATTTAATATATCTAATGTGTTTTACTCCATTGCAGTTGTTATTTTTGATGCTCATCCATTGAGCTTGTAATGTGAATGATTATTTTTTTTTATTTCTGGGTTTCTATTTTATTATTTTTCAAATATGCTCGGTCTTTTAAAAAACAATCTCTTACTCCTTGTGTTTTTTAATTCCTCACTTTATTTCTTTAATCATATTAAACACGTTTATTTTGTATTCTGTATCCAATAAATCTAATATCTAAAGTATTTGCAATTATAGTTGTATTGTTTGATGCTTCTGCTGACTTCCACTCATGAGGGTGTGTTCCTTAGGTGTTCTGTGATTTTTGCTTTTTGTTTGTTTATTTATTTAGTTATTCATTTGAGATGGAGTTTCATTCTTGTTGCCCAGGCTGGAGTGCAGTGGCACAATCTCGGCTTGCTGCAACCTCCACCTCCCCCGGGTTCAAGTGATTCTCCTGGCTCAGTCTCCTGAGGAGCTGGGATTACAGGTGTGTCCACCACCATGCCTGGCTAAGTTTTGTATTTGTAGTAGAGATGGGGTTTCACCATGTTGGCCAGGCTGGTCTCGGACTTCTGACCTCAAGTGATCTGCCCACCTTGGCCTCCCAAAGTACTGGTATTACAGGTGTGACCACTGTGCCTGGCCAGGTGTTGTGTGATTTTTGATTGCAAGCTTATGCTTATTAGGATTCTATCTGTGAGAATTCTTTGAGGTATAGGATGAGAGTCCCTTCTCAGGGAGGATGTGTGTTTCCTTCTGCTAGGTACCTGAAGGGCCTACAGATGGATTCATTTCTCTATAATTCTTAGCTTGCAGTTTTGACAACCAGAACCTAAACCCACATAAGAGCCTGCCAATGACCACAGATTCTCAGAGGAACCTTTTTTTTAAAACTCCACCCACAGCTAACACTAAGATTACTTCCTTCCTGAATACATATCACCAGACGCTCTCCTTTGTCCCATTGTCGCTATATTGCCAAATGCCTTCTCTCGATTTTTGGTCAAAGTCCTAATCATTTCAGGTCCAATTAAAAACTCAGTATCTCTTGAGCCTTCCCCACACCATATGTTGCAAAATTATCTGGTCTTTCCACATTCACAGCGTTCACAGGCCACTGTTGCATTACCTATTAGTCTGTGAGTGTACACGTTCGGACCCCACACTGGATTCTGAGCTTTTTGAAAGCCCAGAGCTGTATCATTTATTTCTGGAGCCCCAGTTCCTGGCTCACTGTTGTGCAGAGTAGTTGTTTCATAGATATTTATTGATCAAATAGAATTTATGGCAAAACCAGTACTTCTCTTCTTTTTGAATAGTAATAAAAAAAAAAAAAATCACAAGCCCAAGCACCCCCGGTCTTGGACAAAGCCAGTTTACCTCTTTGGATCTCAGTATCCTTAGCTGTAAAATGAAAGGATGCTCTGAGGTCTCTACTTGTTCTAAGACACTGACATCCGATGCAGCTGTGTGGCTGTCAGTCACAGTACCATGGATCAACTCTTGACTCACAAATTGAATGAAGGGATGGGAGGGCTGTGGTAAGAAAGAGTGTAATTCTGAGGTAACTGGGCATGAGTTGGAAGAGAGGAAGGAGAAGGGACTTCAAGATGGGTTAATATAAAATAAAGATGGCAGAACCAGGCATGATGGTGTGTTCCTGTAATCCCAGCTACACTAGAGGCTGAGGTGGGAGGATCAGTTGTACCCGGGAGTTTGAATCCAGTCTGGGAAACATAGTGAGACCCTATCTCTTAAAAAAAAAAAAAAAAAAAGATGGCATTTAAAAAATTATGACCTGGTTTAACTAGATGGCCATCTAAAAAACGAACACATTAAAACAAAATAAATTTCAGTTGGGTTAAAGATGGTAAATATTTTTAAAAATGAACTTGGAGAAAGTACTTTCTAAGAATGACTTAAAACCCAGAAGTCATAAGAGAAAAAATTAATATATTTGACCCTATGCAAGTAAAGAATTTCTTCTTGGCAGAATCCATCATAAAATCAAAGGAGTCTCCCAGTTCTCAAAATTGGGAAAGCATTTTTGCAACATATATCATGGAGCTCATTTCCATTTCCTTAATATCTAAAGAGTTCCTACAAGTCATTAAGAAAAAGACCATCAACTGAATTTTTTTTTTTTTTTTTTTGAGATGGAGTTTTGCTCTTGTTGCCCAGGCTGAAGTACAATGGCGCGATCTTGCCTCACCGCAGCCTCTGTCTTCCAGGTTCAAGCGATTCTCCTGCCTCAGCCTCCTGAGTAGCTGGGATTACAGGCATGCACCACTACCCCAGCTAATTTTGTACTTTTAGTAGAGATGGGGTTTCTCCATGTTGGTCAAGCTGGTCTTGAACTCTTGACCTCAGGTGATCCACCCGCCTCAGCCTCCCAAAGTGCTGGGATTACAGGCATGAGCCACTGCGCCTGGCCCATCAACCAAATTTTTAAAGCAGGCTAAAAACACAGACAGTTCACAGAAAAGGTTCTGAACCATATGAGAATGTGAGAGCCCACTAGCAATAAGAGAAACACAAGTTTTCTGTGGAGATGTGTTGGTGGGGAACAGATACTCTCATAGTTGTTGATAGAGGTGTAAATCAGTACAACTTTTATGGAGGAAATTCTGGCAATAGTTATTAAAATTAAAAGTGCACGGGCAATTTCTCTTTTGGAAATTTCTCTTAACAGATAAATTGTACATGTGTGAAATGATGCATTTTTCAAGATAGTTAATTGCATCATTGCTTGTAAAAGGAAAAGAGAAAGGAAACAGCCAGAATGTCCGTCACTAGAGAACTGGTAAATAAATTATCCAGCCACCATACAATGCAATTCTTTTTTTTTTTTTTTTTGAGACGGGGTCTTGCTCTTGTCATCCAGGCTGGAGTGCAATGGCGCAGTCACAGCCCGCTGCAGCCTCGACCTCCCAGGCTTAAGCGATCCTCCCACCTCAGCTTCCCAAGTATCTGGGAACACAGGCGCATGCCCGTAAATACTGAGAAAACCCACCCAGCTAATTTTTAAATTTTTTGTAGAGACAAGGTCTCACTATATTGCCCAGGCTGGTCTCGAACTCCTGGACTCAAGCAATCCCCCCTTCAGCCTCCCAAAGTGTTGGGATTACAGGCGTGAGTCACCGCGCCCAATGCCATACGATGCAATTCTGTGCAGTTGTAATAAAGAATGGACACGCCCTATGTACCAATGTACACTATGTACCAACTAAGACATTTTAAGTGAGAGAGAGGGATAGAATGCCTGCTTATGCAGTAGCTCCGCAAGGATATCTAGGAGGCTGGTAACAGTGGTTTCCCACAGTCGGGGCTGACTTTTCATGGTGTATCTTTTTCTGTATTTTGAATCTTGTACCTTGTGCACATACTACCTAATAATTTTTTTTAAAGAAGGAAAAAAGGATGGGTAGAAAGAAAGGAGGGTAGGCGGAGGTGGGGAAGAAGTCTTTCACCTTTGCTCTGCATTTTCACATAGACGATTTCAGTTAATACTCTCCAGAAACTGGTGCAAGGTTATCATTTTTAGACCGAGAAACTGAAGCTCAGAAGTCTGAAATGACTTGCCCAAGTTCATGGAGAGAGTTAGCCTTGGAACCTGGCATTGAATTCAGTCCTGACTCCAGAGCCATTGGACTCATCTCTGTCAGTTTTCTTTTCTTGCTTTCTTATATTTATTTTATTTTTTTGAGACAGGTCTCACTCTGTCACCCACGCTAGAATGCAGTGGTACGATCATAGCTCACTGCAGCCTCAAACTCCTGGGCTCAAGTGATCCTCCTGCCTCGGCCTCCCAAGTAGCTGGGACTACAGGCATGTACCATCATGCCTGGCTCATTTTTAAATTTTTTGTAGAGGTGGGGTCTGTGCTGGTCTCAAGCTAACGGCCTCAGTGATTCTTCCACCTTGGCTTCCCAAGGATTATAGGCGTGGGCCACTGTGCCTGGCCTCTTGTTTTTTTTAACCAACATTTCATTGGTCAAGGACAAATGGCCATACACCATAGCCTAGACCCATCTCTGCAAAGGGAGTGACTGTAAAGAAACTTCCACTCCTGCCTCTGCAGCTGGCTTGTGCCTACGGGGCAAAAGCTCAGGCAGTAGGTGGTAAAGGCAAGCCCAGAGCCCAGCCAGCCACATCAGACACTTCGAGGAGGATTACGGATTGGCTCTGCAGTCCTGCCTTTGAAGTTCCCAGCTTTTATCAGAATGTCTGAACCTTAGCGTTATTTCAAGGGAGCTTTTCTTTCTGTCTGTAAACTGGCCTCAGGTAGGTGCCAGCTGCTGCCAGGTGCTGAGGGAGCATTTCCTGGCTCCCTAAGCTGGTGCATTCACTTTGTTTTATGGCAGGGAACTTTTTAGGGGTAAAGGCACTTGGTACTTGGAAGATTCTGGGAGAATAACTTTTTAAAAATATTTTTCTATTCAGAAGTGCCATTGGATAGCATGTCTTTAATTAAAGGGAGGGAGAGGTGCATTTTTATTATTTGTTTCCCAGAACCACCTGTGCTGTTTTTCAAAGTAGGGTATTGACTGCTTCCTCCTTGCTGATGAGAAATGCTGTATGGAGAACAAAGCTGAAAGTGTTGGCCATATATAATACAAGGCTGTAATTTACAGGCTATAGCTTCACCAGGGGAAGAATTTGATGTCTTTAAGAGATACAAAATCATCCAGCTCCGGCTGTCCTTGTGTGTGGTGCCATATTTATTTTCTAACTTGGAGTCATCATTCTTTAAGAAAGAAGCAGGGTCCTTTTGGGCTGAGGAATGCTCTCGGGGGTAGGAAGTTTTCGGGATCTGTGGGCCTGAGCTGGCATGTCCAACATCCTGTCACTATACTGCTTGGCATCTTGCAAGGGATGCATCCTAATGACCCATCCTGTCCACTTTTGTTTGGTTACTTGGTGAAGGTGGGAGTGTCTTGAACAGCATGGTGCTGTTCCCCTGGAAAGTTTATACTCATCAGTGCCCAGTTGTTTGCAGAATTCGAGAATGGATGGGAAGCACCCAGGAAACGGTTCCCAAATGGATGCATTTTGATATCTGAAATAGACTTTAAAGCTTTTGGCTTTTGATCATAAAGGGACCGGCAACATTGAGACACCTCCCCACTGCTCCTCAGGTTTTCCTGGTGCTTGAATAATTAAGGCCATGCCCTATGGAATCTCCTTCCTTGGGCTCCAGGGCATCTCTCTTAGCAAAGGCTAGCTTCTCACTCACAGTGTGCTGTGAGCGCTCTGGACGTCCTACCCAGCATTCTGCTCCATCATCTTCTTGTGTTCTGTCTCCCCCAGAAAAACTTCTGTGTAACATCAGCTGTGTTCTTTTGCTTCAATTACAGAGCTTGTTAGAATTTCTCTTCCAAATCCCTGTTTTGGGGCTTTTCTTTTCTTTTTTCTTTTTTTTTTTTTTTTGAAATGGAGTCTTGCTCTGTCACCCAGACTGGAGGACAGTGGCGTGATCTCGACTCACTGCAACCTCCGCCTCCCGGATTCAAGCAGTTCACCTGCCTCAGCTTCCTGAATAGCTGGGATCACAGGCGTGTGCCACCACACCCAGCTACTTTTTGTATTTTTAGTAGAGCCGGGGTTTCACCATGTTGGCAGGCTGGTCTTGAACTCCTGACTTCAGGTGATCCGCCTACCGTGGCCTCCCAAAGTGCTGAGATTACAGGCGTGAGCCACCGCGCCCAGCTGGGGTTTTCCTACCGTGGTTGTAAAAATTCATTTCTTGTCGCCACCTAGATTAACAAATCTCAGATTAAGAACTGGCCTTTTTTCGCCTCCTCTTTGAATTCACTGTCTAAAGAAACGGCCATTGCCCTTTCCGTAAACCAGGACAGAGGTCATGTCTGCTTTGCCTTTTTGCACCTTGGCCCCTGCCTGCCCCTCACCTCCCCACTCAGCTACAGTGACTGGAAGGGCCCACACAGGAAAGCTGGGCCCTGGGTCTTCATGGACGTTGCTGGAGGATGTGTCTCCCTGCTGGTGGCTCTCAGTCTTCCTGTGCTCAGTAGGGCCTTCTGGAGGATTCTAATTTCCCTGTCCTGGAAACCACCTTGAAAATATTCTTAAATATTCTTAGGTGGATTTAAGATGTCTCTGTCTAGTGGTTTTTTGTTTGTTTGTTTGTTTTTTAATCCATCTTAGATTTGAATGCCCAAGGAATGAACAGTCTCTTGGATCTTGTATCTCTTCCTTTTGTTTTTTAGAAAATAGCTTTTATTGATTTTTTTTTCTTGCTACAAAGAGGTTGATGATTATTGCAGAAAATTTAGGGACTATAAGTAGGCAAAAAAGATAAAAACCACCTATAATTATTAATATTTTAGTATATTGTATAGCCCCCCCAGAATATTTTTCAATTTCAAAAGATGAGATCATACTGTTTGTACCATCTTATTACTTTTTCTTTCTTTTTTTTTTTTTTTTTTTTTTGCTTTTACTTTACAACATGTGATTAAAATTTCCATCAGGTTAAGCAGCCTCCGTCAAGTCACTTTAAAGGGTTGTATAGTTCTTTTGAACAGATGGACTATCATTTATTTAACCAATCTCCTACATTTAGCTTGTTTCCTCTGTTTCTGTCTTGTAAAGAATGCTGTGGTAAACATCCTTGGGTATATTTGCCCACAGACTTGGTTATTTCCTTGGGATACATCTCCAGAAGAGAATCACTGGGCCAAGGACACATTCTAAAGGCTGTTCGTCTAGATGGGTAAATTGCCCCCAGACACATTGTATCATATTTGGATTCTGTTTAGCCAAATACTAACTCCCATTCTTTTAAACATGGTTGTGAGTCTTTCAGACCTCTGTTTCCTAATGTTTCTCACGGGTCATACAGGTTGGCTGAGAGTAAATGGCAAGGAAGGGCCTGAGAGACTCCGGGCACAGCTGACCTAGGAAAGGGAGTCTGTCATCCTGGCCCGTCGCTTTACAATGGGAGTGCGAGGGCTGGGCCCAGAGACCCTGTCTTGCCTCCCATGACCCCAGGAAGCTGCAGGCCTGTGGCTCCCCAGGGTAACCTTCTCTGGTGCCAGCCGTTAGGGTGCCCGGGACAGAGAGCTGGCTTTGAGGATTCCAGAGTCTGTCAGAGAACTTAGGCTGGTCTTTCTTCCAAGAGAATGCTCCTAAACAAACATCCTGCCCTAATCCAGAGACTAGGTTGGTGCTTATTGGGGGGCGGTGAGTGGGGGAGCCGAGGATTTCCTGTGGAGGCCTCAGACTCTAGCCCAGGAGTCCAGGCCAAGGAAGTGCCTCTGCCCAGACTTTCAGCCCCTTGAAGCCCAGTTCTTCGTCATCACTTGGTGTGGGGAACAGAGGGAAGTTTGATGGAATTACTGAGGAAGTAGCATTTACGTGGTCTAAATCGGACCTTCCTGTTCCCACTGCTGACCGGCTCTTCCTCCTTTTCCGCTGTCTTCCTCCTGCGTGACAGCGCATTCTTCATGGGGCCTCTGGGGCCCTTCCTGTGGGCTGAGCTTCTTTCTTCCCTTTTCTCTCCTGCCGGGACCTAGACTGGTGCCCACCTTCAGGACTGGGCACATCCAGGCACCTCACAGCCCCTTCCCTCCTCCAGCTCTGCTACCAACGCCCCTGCACCCTTCCGTCCAGGCAGGGCTGTCCCAGCTGAGGCCCAAGCCCAGCCCACCCTTTCTTCTCAGTTCTGCCAAGAAGGCCATGGGGGCTGGTGGAGGCCCGAACTGCCTCCCCGCCCCCGGGGAGACACAGCATGCCAGCTGCTGCCGGGATGGGTTACAAAAAACAAAAACACAAACCCCAGCCCCTTGAGATGAGGGACGTTTCGGTTTCTGTGAACCTGACGCCTCATGTGTGTTGGAAATGAGAGGCGCAGTTTGGGAGAAGGAGGCTGCATGTTTCCCCTGGGGTGGGCTTTGTTTAAATTTTAATATGCTCTTCCTTTTTCTCAAAGTGCCAGCAATGGCTCCCAGCTCCTTTGTCATTTTAGCCCCGTTATCTGTCTGGGGATGAGATCTCTTATCTGCCCGGTCCTCCCTCTCCTCCCTGAATGGCGGGTCCCCCACCCGCCTCCCCGCAACTTGTGACAGTGTTACAGATCTCATTCTGCAACCTTAGATTCAGATGAAACTTGTCACTTTGCTTCTTTAATCAATTAAGATTTGGGGAAAGCAGGGGTCCATTTGTGATAGTGTTGGACCCACCAAGGGCATGAGTAGTGGGCAACTTTGGAGTCCTGTGAGAGAGGGTGTGGCACCCCCCCCCCCTTAGCAGCCTGGGGGACGTCAGCTCCAAGGGTGAGGGTTTCAGCCCTGGGTTCCTTGCTATGGAGTCAAACGTTTCTCCAGTGTGTGTTCAGACTTCTGACCTGGACCCGCCTTAGCCTTGGGGAGCTCTCTCAACTGCGTCCTTTGTTGGATGGAAACTGCATTAGACACAGAAACACAGAGCTGCTCTTTTCCCCACAGGCAGGTGCAGACCTGAAAGAGCCCCGCTGAAGCGGCTCAGAGGCAAGGGGAGGACCTCATCCTTAAGTCACAGGACTCAGGATTAGAGGACCTACAGCTTTCAGCCTCGGCTCACCATCTCCTAGCCCTGATGACCCACAGCCTCCCCAAGCCTTGGTTTCACAGCCTGTAAAATGGGTTCATGAGCCTACTTTTCATAGCTACACTGTGTGTTTGTATATAACCCATGGCTATCACTATTACCTGCGGACCGCGGTGCTATGAAGTCAGGAGACAGGCCTGCACCATCCTGAATCCTCTGTTCTCTGAAAAATCGCCCTTTGTTCTCTCTTACTTCCTTCATTCAATCAGCAAACATTTACCAACTACCTACCATGTGTTAAACTCTGTCATATTAAGGTGAATGGCATGGTCTCTCTCCCCAGTGAGCCCCCAGTCCAGAAGGGGTACTAGATATTGGATATAGACACAAAAGCACAGGAAGTTAGCTCTTCGAATGTGCTGGGGGCAGGGGGCTGTAGGGAAGACTGCTTGGTGGAGGTGGTGTCTAGCTGAGTCCTAGCAGACAAAGGCGGCATGGGGGACCAGGCGTGGTGGCTCACACCTGTAATCCCAGCACTTTGGGAGGCTGAGGCAGGCGGATCACCTGAGGTCAGAAGTTCAAGACCAGGTGAACATAGCAAAACCCGTCTCTACTAAAAATACAAAAATTAGCCGGGCATGGTGGCGCATGCCTGTAAGTCCCAGCTACTTGGGAGGCTGAGGCAGGAGAATCGCTTGAACCAGGGAGGCAGAGGTTGCAGTGAGCTGAGATCCAGCCACTGTACTTCAGGCTGGGTTACAGAGCGAGACTCTGTCTCAAAAAACAAAACAAGGCTGGGTACAGTGGCTCACGCCTGTAATCCCAGAACTTTGGGTGGCCGAGGCGAGCGAATCACGAGGTCAGGAGTTCAAGACCAGCCTGACCAATATAGTGAAACCCCATCTCTACTAAAAATACAAAAATTAGCCGGGTGTGGTGGTGCATGCCTGTAATCCCAGCTACTCAGGAGGCTGAGGCAGGAGAATCGCTTGAACCTGGGAGGCAGAGGTTGCAGTGAGCCGAGATTGCGCCACTGCACTCCAGCCTGGGGGACAGAGTGAGACTCTGTCTCAAAAAAACAAAACAAAACAAAAAGGAGGCATGGGGGACTCAAACATGCAAAGGCAGCAAGGGACACACTTGAGGAGTCCGAGGGGGATTGTGGGTGAGATGGTAGAAGATGAGGCTGCAGGTATAGGTAGGGACCAACTGAGAATGTGTCAAAAGGCTCGGGCTTCATCCTGAGGCCTGGGAGGCCACTAGTGGGTTCTGAGCAAAGAAACACTATGGCGGATCACTCTGGCATAAGCCGGGAGACTTGGGGCTTGTGTTGTTAAATCCCTATGGGGAAATCCCTTTGGAAATGTTGACCTGAGAGACGAGAAACCCCTCAGAGGAATACATATGGCACTTTTACTTGAATTCCTTTTCATTTCGCCTAGAATTTCTGCTTTGCACCAGCTGTTTACATATAATTTACAAAAGTACATTAATGGGCTTGATTGTGTTTCTTAAAACTCACTGAGAAGTAACCCCAAGTAAAATTTTTCCACTGGGGCATGTTCTTAATACATATTTATAGTTACTGAATCCATTTGAGAATGTAGAAAGCTCTTTTGAAATGTTGCGGGAGTACATGACATCTTCAGGTAGGGTTTTCCCCAGTCCTGGCAAGGGGAAGAGAAGGAGAATTAATGTCTGTCAAGTAGCTGCTATAGGCCGGACACTGATCTAGATTCTTTGAATTCAGTGACCCACTGAGAAATAGCATTCCTCTCCCCATTTTACGGACAGGGAAACTGAGGCTTATGAAGGTGGCTGCTTTCCCAAGGCCTCGCACCTATAAGGAGTGGTAGTGGGATTTGAACCCAGATGCGATGAGTCCAAAGCTCACACTCCATCCATTGAACCACTCTGCCACCCAGCTCCTAAGACCTACCAGAAAAGTAAAGCAGGAGCTACAGAGGTAGGTGAGCCACTGGACAGCCTGGTGGCTTCTAGATAAAAATCAGAGCTAAAACACCAGCTCATTTCCATTCTCCTTGCACAAGTTCTTCTGCTGGCTGACAAACTGGAAGCCAGCCCTTCTTTGGGTAGCACTCTTCCAAAGAGTGATAGCTGCAAGTTCTTGGCTACATTCTGAGTTGGAGGTTCAGCCCACTGCATGGAGCAGCAGGTAGGAAGTTGGTGCCTGTAGGTGGCATCAAATTGAACATAAACACACTTGCAGGTGAACCAGGCATGGTGGCTCATGCCTGTAATCCCTGTGACTCAGGTGGCTGAGGCAGGAAGATCTCTTGAGCCCAAGAGTTCACGGCTGCAGTGAACCATGATCACACCACTGCACACCAGCCTGGGTGACAGAGTGAGACCCCAACTCTATTAAAAGCAAAATAAAACAAAACAATGCTTGACCAGGCATGGTGGCTCACACCTGTAATCCCAGCACTTTGGGAGGCCAAGGCAGGTGGATCATTGAGCTCAGAAGTTCGAGACCAGCCTAGGCAGCATGGCAAAACCCGGTCTCTACCAAAAATACAAAAAAATTAGCTGGACATAGTGGCATACACCTGTAGTCCCAGCTACTCGGGAAGCTAAGATAGGCAGATCACTTGAGCCTGGGAGGTGGAGGTTGCAGTGAGCCGAGATCGTGCCACTGCACTGCAGTCTGGGTGACAGAGTGAGACCTTCAAAAAAAAAAAAGCATGCTTGAAGGTGGCAACCCAGAACACCCAGCCATGGAGTAGGGAGGGGGCAAGGACCAGGTTTATAGAGAAAGGATGTCTGTGGCTCTTTTCCCTGGCCACATGATGCAACCCTCCTTCCCACCCCTTACCTAAGCCATGCCCAGGCGGCGAGCATTCCCAGAAAACAAGATGCTCCACTGGGGCACTGGGCACCCCAGTATCTCTGCCCATCACTGCAGTTCTTTTGGCCCATGCCTTATTTCATTGGCCATCTTAACACATTCCCCCCAGAAAAGGGCACCCCGGTCAGGATGCTCTTCCCCTGACTTTCTAGGAGTGTCTTCCTCCCTCTGACTCCTATGGACCCGGACCCCACCAGACTATGTTGGGGGTGGGAGGGTCATTGGATGCCAGTTGAGACAGCTGATGGCCCCCCACCTGTGCTTCTTCCTCCCATCTGGTCCAGAGGATTCAGATCCATGAGAATGGGTGGCAGAGAAAGAGAGGAGGAAGACCCCGGTGCAAGATGACTCCCAGTAATGGCAGTAGATGTGTGGGGAAGGGAGCGCAGGTGGCTGCAAGGCCGTGGCGCCTGGGCAGTGCATTCACCTGCTTGTGAAATGATGGGTCCCCCAGGAACTACTCTGTCTGTGGCTTCCTTGCCATGCCCCCTCTTCCTCTCATACTTTATCATCTCTGCTGCCTCTCCCTCCACCTCCATCCTTGCTTTCTTCTGAGGGTGGGCAGGTAGGTCTCCCTGCTAGATCAGGCTGCTACATCTCCCTGGAGTTTTTGGCCACCTCCTCTCCTGAGCTGCCGGTGTTGGGGTGGGTGGCAGGAACCGATAGAACATCCAAGGTGAACATCGGCCACCCTTTCCATTAGCAAGGGCCTGCACCGGGTATTTGGCCAGAGTTCCTCTGAATTCACTTGGTCTCTGGCAGTTGACCTTGGGTTGAAAATGCAGTTTTTTGAGTGGGCTTTAGAGATCATGCTGAGGAAGAAAGAAAATAGCGTGCACGGATGTGTTGCTGTGGTTGGATTTCACTGGCTGTTTTTCATATACCTGTCTTTTCCCTGTGAGAGAAAACAGCCATGACAGTAAGCAGGGGAAGCTCATTTGAGAGTAGGGGACGTGGAGGGATGAGGGCAGTTCTCCGGGGCACCCCTGAAAATGAATTTCCTCCTCCAGAGCCAGGGTGACCGGGTCCCTCACAGGGCCACCGTCTGCAGGCATCAACACTCTTTTGGGTCTAAATCCAATTATTCCTCAAGTTCTTCTTGGTGGCTTCCTTCACTCTCTGGCCAGGGGGAGTTTTGCAGAAATACTGTTCTAACAGCAGAGCATGTCTGTGACCAAACCTTGGGCAAATACATATTTAAAGAAATCTTATTATTAAAATAGTCAACCTTATGGTTTATGTAGACAATCTGATAAACACAGACAAGGGTAAAGACAGTACAAATTGCTCCATAATCTCACAAGCTGGAAATTACCAACACCATTTAGTACTTTTGTGTATTTCCTCACAGCCTTTTTCATTGCATATATGTAAATACACTGTATTTTAAACATGGTTACAAGCACATTGAACTTTATATCATTTTTCTTTTTCATTTGACATAACATTATGGCAAACAAAAACTTTAAAAAAGCACATGGGCTTTACAAGTGAGCATATGCTTTGCAAACATTTCTGTCAGCTACCAGTAACCAACTGCAAAAACTCATATTCTACCCAAAACAGAAATTGTGCCAGTCGGGGAGTCCTTTGATCACCATGCAGTAAACCTCGCCAAAATATTGTAAATTTAAACAAACTAAAACCCAACCACTTGAAAAAATTTAAAGCACTTAAATTGCTATTGGTTCAAGGAAGAAATAAAGAATGTACTGACAAATATTTAGAAAGCATTGAAAACTAGAATGCCACATACCCAAACCTATGGGAGACAGCTGGCACTATTCTCATAGCCTTAAATGCTTTTATTATTAAAAAGGGAGAGAGAAAAGGCAAATAAACTAAGCATTCAGCCTGAGTGCTTAGGAAAAAAAAAGAATAAAAACAGCCCCTAAGGAAAATGAGAGGGGAAAAAAATAGTAAAGATAAAGGCAGAAATCAATGAATTAAGAAACGGAAACACAGTGAAATCAGCAAACGTATCCAAGAGCTGATTCTGTTTTTAAACAAACAGTAAAGTAGCCTAACCCCTGGCAATTCTATTTGAGAAATAAAAGGGAGAAATGAGAAAAAAAACAAAACAACAACAACAACAACAAAAAAAAAAAAGGGAATGAGAAAGGGGACATTGCAATAGATACAGAGGAGATTTTAAAATAATAGAAACGTATGCACAATCATAGGCATAATTTCAAAATCTCAATTAAATGCATGCTTTTCTGAAAATATATATGTTGCTAATTGAGAAAAAATTTTCAATCCTTATCGAAGCATTGCCCCTCTACCCACCAAAGACACTGGTCCCAAGTGTTTTTGCTAGTTAATTATTTTGAATTTGATAATACTGATAATGCTAAGCTGTTCCACAGCTTAGCAAAAGATGGAGAGCTCTCCAGTTCATTCTACAAAGCAAAATAAGCCTGATATTAAACATGGCAAAGAGACTATTTTGAAGCATGAAAATGCTGGGTAGGAAATAGAATTCAATAATATATTAAACAAGTCATCCACCATAACCCAGTGGGGCAGGAGGAAAGAATAGTCAATATTAGGAAAGCTTAATATAGTAACTACGTCATGCTAATGCATTAAAAAAGTAAAACCGTATTGTTTCCAATATGTGCTGGGGAAAAATGATTAAATTGAACAACCATGTCTACCTAACCAATACAGCAAAAAAAAGGAACAGAAGGGTGCATTCTTAGCATAATAAAAAATATTTCAAACCAATAACCAATTCTGTAATTAACTTAAACACTAGAGGCATTCTTGTGGAAACCAGTAACAAAATAAGGAGGTCTGCCATCACCATCACTATTTAACATTGCTTTTAACACTCTAGTCAACATGATAATACTGAAACAGAAACATATAAATATTATAAAGAAAGAGTAAAAGTATTAAATAACAGTAAGTACAATTTACCCTCTGCCAAATCTTAGGCTAGAGGTTTATTTCCAAAGTTTAGAACCAATAGCAAAAGTCATCAAAAAATTCAACAGATTTGACTACCTTAAAAAATTGTAACTTCTTTTTCTTCTTCTGTTTTTTTTTTGGAGACAGAGTCTTGCTCTGTCGCCCAGGCTGGAGTGCAATGGCGAGATCTCAGCTCACTGCAATGTCCAACTCCTGGGTTCAAGCGATTCTCCTGCCTCAGCCTCCCAAGTAGCTGGGATCACAGGCGTGTGCCACCAACCCGGCTAATTCTTGTATTTTTAGTAGAGACGGGGTTTCACCATGTTGGTCAGGCTTGTCTCAATCTCCTGACCTTAAATGATCCACCTGCCTCGGCCTCCCAAAGTGCTAGGATTATAGACGTGAGCCATATGCCCAGCCATTGATATTTTAATTCTACCAAGATCCTATATATAGATTAGTTTTTAAAAATCAAGATTTAAATTTGAAGGCCTTGCTCATGCCTGTAATACTAGCACTTTGGGAGGCCAAGGCAGGCTGATCATTTGAGGCCAGGAGTTCAAAACCAGCCTGGCCAACATGGCAAAACCCTGTCTCTACTAAAAATACAAAAATTAGCTGGATGTGGTGGTGTGTGCCTATAGTCCCAGCTGCTCGGAAGGCTGAGGCATGAGAATCACTTGAACCTGGGAGGTTGCAGTTAGCCGAGATTGTGCCACTGTACTCTAGCCTTGGTGATGGAGTGAGACACTGTCTCGAAAAAAAAAAAAAAAGATTTAAATTTGAAGACAATATGCACAGACGATATAATTAGCAAACAAATGCCCGACCTAAAGAAAATGCCAAATGGTGAGCTCCATGAGGCTAGGAACCAGGTCAGTTCTGCGTAACAGATACTAAATTGAGTTAATATTTGTTGACTCTATTGAATTAATATTTGTTGAAGAAATTAATGAATGCAATACAAGTTTTGAAAGTATACCATTTTTAACTTTTTAAATTAGAAGAGTTTTTAAAAGATTTTATTATGAAAGAATTTCAACTATTGAGAAAAATTGAAAGTATATAACAGTAAATACCCATACACCAATGGCTGAGATATAATAGATGTTAACATTTGCCATATTTGCTTCATCTGCACAGGTATATATATTTTTTCCTGAACCATTTTGAAGAAAGTTACAGAGCACACATCATTTCTCCCTTCAATAGTTCCGCATACAAATCCTCTGTCACCCAGAACTTAGCAATCTGAATGCAGGGTATGGGAAGCTGCTGCACTGTGCTCCAAGGGTGTCTCTGCAGATTGTCCCAGTCTCTGAGAAGGTATTTAGGAGTCACCAACATGACCTGCTGATATGTAAGAGAAAAGAAAACATGCATTTATTGTGGATCATGCCCTGTGCTGGGAGTTTACCAATGGCCTCCTGTTTAAATCCTTTTTACAATTCTGCCCATATTACAGGAAGTTGAGGTTCAGAGAGGTTAAGTAACTTGCCCCAGTTGACACAGTGTCATTATTCACCAAGTCCCTTCTGACACCATCAAATTACCTGACATTTGCCTCTTCCCTTTATCTTCTCTGTGCGTGAATGCATGGAGGTGATTTGTTGGGCAGTGTGGACAGACGGGAAGCAATCTCAATGTCCTCCAGTGCAAGAATTGGCAGGCAAATGGGGATGTGTGTGAACGGTGTGACTATGAACATGGGTGATCGATTACGGACATGCAAGATGGAAAATTGCTTGTGGCATCCAGATAAGGGAAAACAAGTAGGACACCAGATTGTATACACTGTGATCAAAACCATGTGAAAAACACATGCATGAAGAGGACTGGGAAGAAATACACAAGAAGTGGTTGCATTAGGGTGAGAAGGAGTATTCATGTTTTTCTCATCCGTCTTTTTCAAACCTTTTGTAATGGGTGGTTTTATTAATTTTATAATGGAAAATGTTAATTTAAAAGCAAGTTATTTACAGTTTAGTAAGCTCATGGCAGGGAAAGGCTGTGCTCTGTTTATTGCTCTTACTTTTTCCCAACGCCTACTCCCATGCCTGGCAATTATAGAGATAATAAATGTGGGTGTGGAATGAGTGCCCACTGGGAAACCTCTCAGAGGACTTTGACCCAGGAACATATTTGCACAGGGTTTCCCTCAGCTGGAGAAGGTTTCTCTGGGAGAGCACCAGCCAGGTGTGTGTCATGGGATATATTTACAGGGTGGTGAGCTCTCCTGGTCCAACCTAAAAGGTCCCAGCAAGGTGTAGGGGCCCTTCTGGCCATTTGACATCACCAGGGCAGTTAGTGCTGATACAAACCACAGAGAATGAACAAACTCCAACTCAAACGGGAATGGATTTTATGTCATTCTGGGACTTTCAAACTTGATAATAGACCAAGCATGGTGGCTCACACATGTAATCCTAGCACTTTGGGAAGCCAAGGTGGGAGGATCGCTTGCGGCCAGGAGATTGAGACCAGCCTGGGAAAGGTAGCAAGACCCAGTCTCTACAAAAAAATTTTTTGTTCTGTTTTGTTTTTGAGACAGAGTCTCAACTCTGTCGTCTAGGCTGGAGTGCAGTGGTTTGATCTTGGCTCACTACAACCTCCACCTCCGGGTTCCAGTGATTCTCCTGCCTCAGCCTCCCGAGTAGCTGGGATTACAGGCACATGCCACCATGCCCGGCTAATTTTTCTATTTTTAGTAGAGATGGGGTTTCACCATGTTGGCCAGGCTGGTCTCAAACTCCTGACCTTAGGTGATCCGCCCACCTCGGCCTCCCAAAGTGCTGGGATTACAGGCGTGACCCACCGTGCCTGGCCAAAAAACTTTTTAGTAATTAAAAAGATCAAGCTTGATAATCACAATCATATGAGCAGTTATTAAGTGCCAGCCTAAGTGCATTTACAGACATTCCTTATTTAATTTTCACAACAGCCATTAGCATTAGCTATCGGCCGGGCACAGTGGCTCACACCTGTAATCCCAACACTTTGGGAGGCTGAGGCGGATGGATCGCCTGAGGTCAGGAGTTCGAGACCAGCCTGGCCAACATGGTGAAACCCCGTCTCTACTAAAAATACAAAATTAGCCGGATGTGGTGGTGCATGCCTGTGATCCCAGCTATTTGGGAGGCTGAGGCAGGAAAATCACTGGAACCTGGGAGGCAGAGGTTGCAGTGAGCCAATATCACGCCATTGCATTCCGGCCTGGGCAACAAGAGCAAAACTCCATCTCAAAAAAAAAAAAAAAAAAAAAAAAGAAAGAATTAGCTATCAGCTCCATTTTATAGATGAGGAAACTGAGGCACAGAGGAAGGAGGGATGGGTTTCAAGGCCGGTCTTGGTTTTGCCAAGAACTTGACTTTCAGCAAATCGTAAGCCTTCTGGGCTTTCATTTCCTTGTCTCTGAACGAAACAGCTGGCAGGAGTTGAATGCTTATCATGTGCCAGGCCCTGGCCGAACACTCTGAACATGTGCGCACAGAGTGTGTGTTAACCAGTGGGGGAGGGGGCACCAAGCAGGCCCATCTGGGTGGGAATATGAAGCCACCTTCCCAACAGGGCAGTCACATATGCCCAGTAGGAAAGAGCTGTATCTGTGCTGCAGAGAGGGTCATTTCAAATTAAAAAAAAAAAAATTGGCTGGGCGCGGTGGCTCACGCCTGTAATCCCAGCTCTTTGGGAGGCCGAGGCAGGCAGATCATGAGGTCAGGAGATCAAGACCATCCTGGCTAACACGGTGAAACCCCGTCTCTACTTAAAAAAATACAAAAAATTAGCCGGGCATGGTGGCGCGCGCCTGTAGTCCCAGCTACTTGGGAGGCTGAGGCAGGAGAATGGCGTGAACCCGGGAGGCGGAGCTTGCAGTGAGCCGAGATCCCGCCACTGCACTCCAGCCTGGGCGACAGAGCGAGACTCCGTCTCAAAAAAAAAGAAAAAAAAAAAAATGCTTAATGGATTGTTTGGTAACAAATGGATACCAACAAATACAAAATGGCCATTTCTTTTTCTTTCTTTAAAGAAACATTTGAATTGGAGGCTTAGGCTCATCTCAAGAGGTTGTGGACCCGACAGTTGGTGGTGATGGGTTTTGTTCATAAATGAGAATAATAGTTGTGAGTTTAATCCAACACATTGATTGAAGTGAATGAAAAAGAACACATAAGCTGTGTGAATATAGTGACTAATCATAGACTCTCGGGATTGAAATGTACCCTGGGGGGATCCAGGATGCAGCATCACCCGGGAGCTTATTATTAATGGAAACGAAGTATCTCTCACAGCACCCTAGACCTGCTGAAGCAGAATCTGCATTTTAGCAAGATCCCCGGGTGATTCCTCAGCACATTTGAGAAGCAGCGCTCTCATTTGTCCTGTCTCCTTTGAGGAAATCGGAAGACTAGAGAGGTTAAGTGAGGACACACAGGAAGTTCTAAAAAACTGTAACTCTGGTCTCTCAACACCAGGTCTTTGCACAGCACTTGCCCCATGGGAGAAACCCGGTTGGTTTTGTTTTTGCTTGTTTTGCATTCCCAAGACCAATTCTTGTGAGCCACTGGTCATAGCCCATCTCTCTTGTTTTCATGCAGCAGGGGCATCTTCAGTGGCCACGTCATCTCTCACTCTCTGCTGGGGAGCTTGTTAAAATGCAGTTGCCTGGGTCCAGCCCCAAATCCACTGGATCTGGGTGGGTGGGAACCAAGTGCCTGCACCTTAAAATACCCTCAGGTATTCCTAGGTGCCAGTGTTGTTACGGCCAGCTTGGGCCAGCTATGAACTGTTACAGTGGCTTTTTATTCTGAAATTAAACCTGCAGATACTTGGGCTAGTATCGACTAAAGCCCATTTTCATCTGAAGGAAGCCATCCAGCTACTAACATTATATTGTGTACTGAGTATTGACTGTGAATTTCTGTTTTTTTGAGACGGAGTCTCGCTGTCGCCCAGGCTGGAGTGCAGTGGCGCGATCTCAGCTCACTGCAACCTCTGGCTCCCAGGTTCAAGCAATTCTCTTGCCCTCAGCCTCCCAAGTAGCTGGGATTAGAGGCGCCTGCCACCACGCCTAGCTAATTTTTGTATTTTTAGTAGAGACAGAGTTTTGCCATATTGGCCAGGCTGGTCTCGAGCTCCCAACCTCAGGTGATCCTCCCGCCTCGGTCTCCCAAAGTGCTGGGATTATAGGCGTGAGCCACTGTGTCCAGCCACTGTGAATTTCTCATTAACAGAACGTTCTCTTTCAACCTCAGCTCCATGGAACTCAGCAGATCACATGTGGTTGAATGTAAATTCCAGGACATTTAAATGTATTATTTTCTATTTTTAAGAGAGAGGAGAGGCAGATTGGATGAACTTGGAAAATTAAATGGCCCCCAAAAAGTAACAATTAAGAATGTGTGTTTGGGGCTGGGCACGGTGGCTCATGCCTGCAATCACAGCACTTTGGGAGGCCTAGGCAGGAGGATCACTTGAGGTCAGGAGTTCGAGACCAGCCTGGCCAACATGGCAAAACCCCATCTCCACTAAAAATACAAAAATTAGCTGGACATGGTGGTGGGCACCTGTAATCCCAGGTACTTGGGAGGCTGAGGCAGGAGAATTGCTTGAACCCAGGAGGCAGAGGTTGCAGTGAGCTGAGATTGTGCTACTGCACTCCAGCCTGGGCAAGAGTGAGATTCCATCTCAAAAAAAAAAAAAAAAAAAGAATGTGTGTTTGGCCTGTATAGTCTTAGCTACTCAGGAGGCTAAAGCAAGAGGATTCCTTGAGTCCAGGAGTTCAAGGCCAGCATGGACAACATAGCAAGAACTTGTTTCTAAAAAAAGAAAAAAAAAGTGTGTGTTTGAAATTTGAGGCTCTGTGGCTAGAATTTTCACTTAAGAGGAAATATATATCTGCATTTAAAATTCTTTAATTTATAAACATTCTTGTGTATTCTTAGGCCAGTGCCCCACAAAAGTATGGGCCATGCACCAGTGCTGTTCTGCACAATGTTAACCAAGCAAGAGGAGGAGCTAAACATAGAAAATGGGATTGGTGTTTAGAAACTTCTGTAGTTTGACATTGGCAGGATGACATCCAAATGGGCGATTGGTGGCTTCATCTCGAACAGCGTGTGGGCCAGGGTGAGCACTGTTGACCCCACGTGGCAGGACTCAGGACTAAACTGCTTGTTGATGTTAGATCTGAGAGGGATTAAGGATTAAGATGAATCAAACTGACCTTTCACCACAGAGTTTGAGAAGCACTGGGGATGTTAAAGGTGGGGAAAGTTTGCAGCGGGAGGTGTGCTTTTTAAGCTTAGGAAGTGGAAAGCAGGAGAAGAGTTGGACAGGCAGAAGTCTTCTCGCTCCCACTTCACCCTCGAGATCCCAACAGGCCAGTTCAGGCAGAAAGGGGTTGGCTCCTAGGCTAGCCGGCTACTCCACGTTGAGCCTTCTGCCTTGTCCCATATGTTCCTTTTTCCTGTTTTTTTAGAGACAGGTTCTCACTCTGTTGCCCAGGCTGGAGTGCAGTGTCTGTTCACAGGCATGATCATAGCTCACTGCAGCCTTGACCTCCTGGGCCTGAGCGATCCTCCCAACTCAGCCTCCCAAGTAGCTGGGACCATAGGCATTCGCTACCATGCCCAGCTTGTCCCATAGACTTGGTTTGACTCTGGTCACAGAGCCTGGGGAGAAACTCCTTGATTCAAGGCAGAGCAAGGTGGTTTAAGAGATGGCCTTCTGAGTCCTGCCTGGCCTGGGTATGGAAACGTGGGCGCTACCAGCTGTGCAAGCTTGGCCCACTGACTTTCTTTCTTTGCCCCTCAGAGTTTAGAAAATGGGAATGGCTGGATGCGGTGGCTCATGCCTGTAATCCCAGCACTTCTGAAGGCCGAGGCAGGCAGATCACTTGAGGTCAGGAGTTCAAGACCAGCTTGGCTAACATGGTGAAACCCTGTCTTTACTAAAAGTACAAAAATTAGCTGGGCGTGGTAGCAGCTGTAGTCCCAGCTACTCGGGAGGCTGAGGTGGGAGAATCGCTTGAACCCAGGAGGCAGAGGTTGCAGTGAGCCGAGATCGCATCATTGTACTCCAGCCTGGGTGACAGAGTGAGACTCTGTCTCAAAAAAAAAGAAAAGAAAAGAAAAGAAAAGAAAACAGGTGAACGACAGTCACTCCTGGAGGGGTTCTTCTGCCAGATAGAAACAAGATATCACATGCAAGAGGCTCTACACATGGTCTGCACTCAGGAAAGGGAGGAATTCTTTGTGCTGTTTTGTCTATGTTATTTGAAAAAGTGGATTGCATTGTGGGTCCCCAGAAGTTGCCAGCTGTCCTTCCTGTTTCCAAATTCCTGTGTGTGTGTGTGTGTGTGTGTGTGTGTGTGTGTGTGTGTGTGTGTATTCTGTGCCTGTGGTGGTGGTGGCCATGGTGTCGGCAGCAGCAGGGTTGTCAGGAAACAACCATCGGTTTCCTGCTGATTAACTCAGTTCCTGGAGGGCCCTCCCTAGCAGCAGGGGAAGCCTGGCAGCTTGGCTGAGCCTCCTCCGGCCTCTGCCTCACCCGCCAGCTCTTCTCACCCCTTCTGAGAGGCCCGCCTGCTCTCCTGCTACCCTAGAGCCCAGGACACCCTTGCAGGCCTTCTGAGCCTTCTTTGTTCTGGCCGTGGGTGGGGCACCCGGCTCCACCTGCCTCAGGTTTTGCCTGCAGGTGCATTTCCTTTGCACACCTGGCGCCTGTTGGGGACTTAGACCTCTTCCACATCGCCCCAAGGTCGGGCTGAAGAGATTTGGATCTTCTGAGTTGCAAGCTCCCAGAAACGATGCTGTTAGGACCCTCTGTTCACTCAGAGAAAGAGGCTTGATGGCCGGAGCCCCAGGGCTTCCCTGCTGGTAGAAGGGGTGTCTGGAGGGCCTCTGCCTTCCGTCATCAGAAGGAGGTTCTAGCAAGGTAAAGAGGCCCGTATAGTACTGGGATTTTGGATCCCTTGAGTGAAGGACCAGGCAGAGAAGGGGAGCACTGCTGGAGGATGTCGGGGGCTGGGCCAGGCTGGGCACAGGCACATGGCCATGGTGATTGACCGCATTTGCCTCACCACTTCACGTGGGGACCTGGCAACCACACAATGGCCCTGGGGCATGGTGTGGGGGCTGAGACATGAGGCAATGGTCTTGGTCTCAAACACCCCAGCTTCCGGCTGCTGGGCGTCACTGACTTGCTGTGGCTTCCTGGCCTGGCTCAGCATTGGCCGTCCGGCTCCTGCAGCAGTGACATCTCCACTCTGGACCCATGAGCCCATCAGCTCTTGGTGGACAGGTTTGCACAGTTGCCCCTGCTGCCTGTGCAGTGAGCTGGCTGCGGAAGGCAGGACTCCCAGGGCTAGGAGGGTATTAGCAGGCTGGCTTTCGGGCCTCAGCACCATCGTGCTTCTTATGTGCCGGGACAGGATCAGGACCATGTTGTGCCTAACATCCGGCAGACCCTGGTAGCTTCTTAAATGATGACACTTTCCAGCACTCACATATCTCATCTGAGTTAGGCCGGGCTCTCTAGCTGGGGCGGGAAGCCCCGCACTTCCTAATACCTGGTGGCTGAGTCAACAACATGGGGACGTGTATTTGGATAGCAAACAGCGATCAGCAGCGGAGCCAGCCTGCTGCCTTCCTGCACCCGCCTTCTAGCAAAAATGTCCTCTGGAAAGGTCAGCCAGGACTGGCTACATAATTTTCAGGACCAGGTGTAAAATGAAAATGCAGGTCTCATGTTTAAAAGTCAGTAAAATTTAAAGAACAGCAGAGCACGAAACCAAATGTGAGCCCTTCCTTCTACACGTGGGGCCCCAGGCAGTGGCACCATTGCATGCCCCCAAGGCAGCCTGGAGTCAGCGTTTCCCAGCCTTGTGAAGTCCTCATGCTTCCAAGGGTGGCAGGATTGGGTCCTCTTTGGTAGAAGAGCTGCTTGGCATCCTGAGACGCACTCGCCCCATCCGGCCCCACAAGCAGCTTTCTCAAGAGCTGGAGTGACTTCCACTTCGAAGCGCAAGCACTTCACCTTCTCCTTTTTGTTCTTCTCTACCCTGTTTCCTTCTTTCTTTGTGAACTCAGAAAGCTTTGAGACTCCCCTCCCGTTCCTCCTTTCTTCCCCTCCACTCTTGCCGCCCGCCCCCCACCCCCTCCGCCTCTGTTTCTCTCTCCCTCTTTCCCTTGCTTTTATCTGGGGGAACCCCTTTCACAGGTTTGCTGTATAACATTTCTCTTCCATTCACTTGGCGCTGTTCGATTTTAATGTTCCTTTGAATGACACCAGGCGAGTGCTCCTTGGGTTTCCGAAGCCTCTCTCTGAAGTGGCTGGAGCCAGCGTCTTCCCCACCGAGGGACGTCCCTTCAGTGGCCTCTGGCTCTGTCCAGATGGTCTCTCCCCATTGGGAGCCTGGAATGAATTCTCATTGTGAGCATTCATCACTCACCACCTCCTCCCCACATTCAGCTGTCAGTCCTACTGGCCGCAGTGGAAAGAAAGCCTGCTCCATTATTTCTAGTGACAGACCTGGCCATCATTCCCAAGGTCTGTGGCTCCCATGCAGGCCTCGAGCTGGGGGTGGGGCAGGGCATGGGAAAGGGTTAAATAGATAAGCCCAAGACACAGTCCTGGCCCCCCTCATCCTCTTCACACAGGAACCAGAAGGGTCTTCAGCAACATGCATGGGATCGTGTTACTTCTGGCTTCCCATGCCTGAGAATGGCATCCAGACATGGCCTTCAAGGCTCTGTCTGCCTCGGTGACCCCATCTCCAGCCACTGTTCCCAGTTCACATCGGGGAATTCTCCGGCCCTCCTAGAGAGGCAGCCCAGGTTGCTAAAGAGGCACTTCAAGCACATTTCAAAGAACGCAAGAATTCTGGAGAGGTGGAGAGCAGGAGAATAGCACAAGCAAGAGCCAGCTCCAGGGTCAGGCTGGAGATGGGAGGTCAGGCATGGTGGGGAGGACGGGAAGTGGGGCTGGGTTCAAAGCCTGGCTCAGCTTGGAGGACCTGGCAGGGGCTCGGGGTGGGGGTGGAGTGTCTCAATCCTGGTGCACACTGGAGTTATTCGAAGGGCTTTTAAAAATTATCAAAGTTGTTCCAGGTTCATTCCCCGGGTGGCCCACACGCTGTTTTTAAGTTTAGCTCTCCAACCCTTCTTCCTGGTTCTCCCCTTCCCTTGGAAGAAAGTCCCTGGTCCAGCCTGGGTGTTGGCACTGGCATTTGCCCTCCCAGGGCCACTGGGACTGGGAATCCCCAGGAGGGCTTTCGAAAGTGTCAGGAACCGCTCCTTCCACTGGGGCTTTTCTCCACTGATGGGAAGGCTGCCTTGCTCAGTCAGCCCCAGGCCCCTGGACAGAAGGAACTAGGGGAGCACTAAGCATAGGTGTCCCTAGAGAGTCAGCTGGAAGGGACCTAGTTCAGAAGAGGAAACTGAGTCTCAGTCACCAGCGAGTACCACCACTGGTGGTACTCAGAGCTTGGGTAGCAGAGCTTGGGCTTTTCAGCCTTGGACACCACCAGCTAGGATGGAGTGAGGGCTGAGCTGGAATGCTTCTGAGGAAATGATCTCTGACCCAAGCATGCCACAATTATGAGAGCATCTTCAGCACTCATAAGCATCGCAGGCTGGATCTCTTTCTCTGACCTTTGGATGTGGGGTGCCAGAATCTGTGCTTAAAGATGAGGGATGTCGGGCTTCTGCCCTCAAAGAACTCTGGATCTCGAGGGAGCAGTGGGCCTAAGCATAGAGTATTCTAATACGGTCGCTAGGCTTCCAGAGCTGTAAGAGACAGGCTTGAGCAGGGAGAGACGAATTCCCCGAGGGAGGCCTTGATGAGGAGGTGAAGAGGCAGTGAGGGTCTGGTGTCTACTCCCCTTTAACCACAGGCCTGGCCTTCCAGCCAGGGTGCTGTACCAAAGTGAGTGCTGGGGCCGCTAAGTGGTGCCCAGGTACTGATTTCCCCTCGACCCGCAGTCGGCTGGGCTGGGTGGGTCTGTGGATGGTTTGGACCAGCCTTGCCCGATTACCCCAGTGTACGGTCCAAATATGATTTTCTATGTGTGCCATGCAGATCAGGAGCACTGTAGCAGGCCCCTCTCTCTATCACCAGTGCATCACTTTCATCATGGAGCAGGTTGGGAAACAAGCCAAAGGCTGGCCCCACAGACACAAAGAATAAGTCACAACTCACCCACGTGGTGTGTTTCCTCCTAACTCTTTAGTTTGAAATTTTCAAACTTGACAGAAAAGTTAAGAACCTTCGTCCAGATTCACTCATTGTTGCCATTTTGCCACGTTTTCTTTATCTCACTCTCTTTCACGTGGTTTTGCTGAGTCATTTGAAAGTGAGTTGCAGACAGCCCACCGTTAAGTACGTCAGCAGGTATCTTTCAGGAGTGTGGACTTCCCCATTTGCAACCACGGTGCCATCATCACACCTAAGAAATTACCACTGTCCAATAATATCCAATCTACAACCCATTCATATTTCCCCAGTTGAACTCCAAAAATGTTTTCGTATGGCTGTTTTCCTGATCCAAAAATCTTCATGCATTACATTTGGGTGTTGCGTTTCTTTACCTTCTTTTAATCTAGAACAGCCTCCCTGCTCTGTGTGTGTGTGTGTGTGTGTGTGTGTGTGTGTGAGACATTGGCTTTGAAGAGTCCAGGAAGGCCAGCTGTGTTACACAATAGATTTGTGTAATCGAATATGTTCAGGTTAAGTTTGCATAGTTTCAAAACTCACCTGATAATTGCTTCATTGTGTCCAGGAAAGTCCTAAGGCAGAGAGGCTATCTCTTTGGCTGTCTGTCCCTGTGTGTGTTGTGGGGCATCCTGTCCAGCCACCCAGAAAAAGCAATGGCTTTGGTAACATGACATGTTATGTATAAAATGCTTCCTGCCAGGTGAGGTGGCTCACGCCTATAATCCCATCACTTTGGGAGGCCAGAGGGGGTGGATCACTTGAGGCCAGAAGTTCAAGACCAGCCTGGCCAACATAGTGAAACCCCATCTCTACTAAAAATACAAAAATTAGCCAGGCGTGGTGGCAGGCGCCTGTAACCCCAGCTACTCGGGAGGCTGAGGCAGGAGAATCGCTTGAACCCAGGAGGTGGAGGTTGCAGTGAGCTGAGATTGTGCCACTGCACTCCAGCCTGGATGGCAGAGCGAGACTGTCTCAAAAAAAAAAAAAAAGTGCTTCTGATGTGTACAGATGATTTCACCTGATGATTTCACTGGCAGGGCAGATGTTCTCTTCATTTCGTGGGTGGGATTCTGAGAGGTTGAGGCCATGCCCAGGTCCACTATCTTAGGCAAAAGTGGACCAGATCCCTGCCTTGTGACCCACTGTGGGGCTTTCTGCAGTGACAGCTGGGAGTCTTGCCCCACGACTGGATGAGGTGGTCTCACCTCATTTCACTCCTGGATCCAATACGTGCTTGGCTGAGTGCTCAACCGAGTATTGAATGTAATCTAATACAGTCCAATCCATCTTGATGACTGCAAGTCATGATTAGGAGCCCTCGGTGCTGAGCTCAGGTATGGAGGTGTCCAAGCTGCTTGCCCCACCCCTAATGGCCATAAACTGTCACTGGGTCATTTTCAGCCTGCACCCTAGCCAGCCACCATCATAGCCTCCAGCAGCGAGTGGCACCTCTTTCACCTCCTTGGGTTTCCTCTGCATCTGCCGTGGTCTGGGAAACTGGATAACCGTGCTTGTTAGAACTGAGTCCAAAGCCTCCAAGCAAGGGGCGCTGTCCCATAAAGAAAAAAGTGCCTGGGACACCAAAGTCCCCTCTTCGAGTCACCCACATCTGTTTCATTCTGGACTCTCAACTTTTTCATATGCTCTGCAGTTCTCTAAGTCTTTTGGGGGAAATTTGAGGTGGCCAGAGAAGAGATCTCTGGACAAGTGTAATCTTGCTATCACATATTAGGAAAGACCATAATGTACAGCAGAGGTGCCTGGTGAGGAAACAGTCAGCATGCCAGTGAGAACCAGAGCCTGGGGGCACTTTGTGCATGGTGGCCATACTGCTGGATGACCATGCCAGCTTGGGCTGTGGCTGGGTGAGGTCACCCAGGCCTCAGGCCTGTGCACTGTGGCCACTGCCTCCTCTGCACGTAGATCATACCGCCTTTGTTGAGGAAGTCGTGTCTGAGGATCTGGTCCCCAGCTCTAGGCAACAGCAGAAACCCTGGTACCCAGATCCCCCAGTCTCCAGGGAGGTGTCCTTAGTGCTCCGGATGGGGTTGTTAAAGCCACATGTGAACACTCCGCAGATTTTCCCTGCAAGGTACAAGCCCTCCAGCCTCTTCCACCCAAATGTGTCACCTTGGGCAGCAGCTCCCTGAATTCTGTTCTTTCTTGAAGGAATTTCTGTTCTCATCAGTTCATAAGCACAGTGCCCCTTCTGTTTCTTGGCTTAATGCTCCGGGAGTTCACAGTGATCCCGATTTGACTTCACAGTGACTCCTTTACCAAGCCTTTTTTGCTTGTTTGCTTGCTTTTAATTTTGTTTTTTATCAGAGTAATATATGCATCTTTTTTTACATCAAACAATACTGATGGGCTTCTAGTGCTAAAGCAGCAGGCCCCGCCCCACCTCGCTCCCCAACTCCAGCCCTCCAGCCAGTTAACCATTTGCAAACTGCTTACTTCCTCCTTCCTGTTATTTACGTCCATGTTCTGAAATAATATGTTACTCCAGTGATTTCTTGATTTATCAATTTCGGACATTATCTTTTGCCTCCATATTGTTGCAAGTGAGGACTTATCTCTCCACCACCCTATCATTCCTCCTCCTCCTCTCTTAGTTTTATCATTAGGTCGCAATTTTGGGTTAAGCCCACAGTATAAATACTATTCACTGCTAAACATGGCACTGAACTACGATTACTTCTTTAAAACAAGAGTTCATTATTGTTTCTTTTGTTCTCACTGCGTTACTTTTCTCTGTGCTTCTGATTCCTCCTAATACACCAACAGATTAGGAAAACATCTATTGGATGTTTATCTATTGGTTCACTGATCAATTCTGTTTTTTTTTTCTAGACACCTAGGTATCTTGCCAGTTAAATTCTTTTCTTTTCTCTTTGTTTGTCTGTTTGGTTGGTTTTTAGAGATAGGGTCTCACTCTGTCACCCAAGCTAGAATGCAGCGGCATGATCACAGCTCCAACATCTGGGCTCAAGTGATCTTCCCACCTCAGCCTCCAGAGTAGCTAAGACTACCAGCATGCACCAACATGCCTGGCTAATTTTTTTATTTTTTGTAGAGGTGAGGTCTCACTATATTGCTTAGGCTGGTGTCAAACTCCCAGGCTCAAGCGATCCTCCTCCCTTGGGCTCTTAAAAGTGCTGGGATTATAGGTATGAGCCACTGGGCCTGGCCACCAGTGAAATTCTTTATATCTTTTTCAAAGCAAATGAAAATTTTGTTCACTTTAATATATTAAAATAACTCCATGCCACCTCCTCTGAAAGAGCTTCCCTGAACCTCCAGCCTCTCTAAGTCTGCCCCTCCTCTGTTCTTGTTCTAACGCAGCCTTTACACACCAAATTAAAATTGCCTGTTTTCTTGCCTGTTGCTCTCACAACACCATAAGTTCTTAAGGGCAGGACCGAGTCTTGTGCACTGCTATCTCCCTAGGAATGCACAGGAGCTGGATGGCACATGGTAGGTGCTCAACAAATATTTGTGGGATTTGCCTTTGTCAAATGGAAGCACAACAGTGATTTTATAGGCTGCTGGTGGCTAGGTTAAATATCTGCCCCATGCCTCTTTGTTTTTGATTTTTTTTTTTTTTTTTTTTTTTGAGATAGAGTTTCGCTCTGTTGCCCAGGCTTGAGTGCAGTGGCATGATCTCAGCTCACTGCAACCACTGCATCCCGGGTTCAAGTGATTCTCCTGCCTCAGCCTCCCAGGTAGCTGGGATTACAGGCGCCCACTACCACGTCTGGCTTATTTTTGTATTTTTAGTAGAGATGGGGTTTCACCATGTGGGCCAGGCTGGCTTGAACTCCTGACCTCAGGTGATCCACCCGCCTCAGCCTTCCAAAGTGCTGGGATTACAGGCGAGAGCCACCGTGCCCGGCCCCTGTGCCTCTTTGTATTTTCCATGCCCCCCCTTCTCTCCAGCCTCCTTGTTGGGTTCGGAGGCCCTCCTGGGGCCTGTTCCAGCGAAATAACAGCCTTTTCCAGATAAAGATGGAAAGGAAGGGTTTTCTTTCCCTGATCCATTGTGTCTCCCCCCCACCCCCTCCAGGCAGCATTAGGTTGGCCCCAAGCACCTCAGGGCTCCGGACTGGTCCTTGTCGCTTTATAATCCCAGCCCACACCACTGAGCTCCACACAGACTGAGCGCTCAGTAGATGAGTAAGGTTGAGACTCGCTCAATCAATCAATCAATAAACCAATCAGTCTTCCTCCACTCAGCCTCTCTGCTCCCCGGCGTTTCTCATTATCTAGCGTTTGGATGATCAGAAGGAAAAAGGAGCTGCTGCGTAAAGGTGACCCCATTTCAGGTTTCGTCATGACTCGCTAGGTACTGAGAGACAGCAGGAGAAGGGAAGACAAAGAAGGGGGACAGGGAACACTCACCTGTGATCGCAGAGGGACATTTTGGGAGACACACGGTCACTAGACTGAGGGCTGTGTGTGGGCATTTGCCGGCACGATCTGGTGTGTAACAGAGGCCCAACCAGGAAGGACAGGAAATCTAAATCCAGGTTAGGGCACGTATATTGCACCCAGCCTTTGGGTCTTGGCTAACTCAGGAAGGTGCTGGTCGGCGGTGACCCGTGATGTGAGAACACGCCTCAACGTCCAAAGAGGCCCTCCCTCGTGAGTGACATAGACCCAACAGCTGGTGGCCTGTAAAAAGAGCCAACCCACCCGCTTACCCTCCTGGAGTGAGGGCCCAGCCTGAGCAGGCGGCGGGCTTCTTTGGAGCAGTCCCTCGAGGGGACAGCCCATCCCAGGGCTGACTCAGAATGCCCTTCACCCCACACCCCACCGGGGACCGAGCACCTCCTGTGTGCAGGCAGCCGGAGAACTGGGTGGACACGGCCCAGGCAGGGTGAGTTGCCACGGCTTTCACCTCCAGCCAGGGCAGCTGCCTCACTGAGAACCCCCTCATCTGCCCCGCTACCTGGTTAAGGGCCCGAGGGCTCTCATAGAGGAGACCTGCGGGCACCCAGGGGGCCGAGCTGCCTTTGGAGACTGAGCCTTGTGCACAGCATCACAGGCCAGGGCTCTCTCCCTTGGCTCACCCAGGACCCTATGGGAGGAGGCCACAGCCAGGCGGCCAGGGCAGGGAGCAGCCGACCCTGTAATAAAGCTGATGGCTGCCGGCCTGTGGCGCCCCTGGAGAGGGAGCAACTCCCCTTGGGGGTGTAACCTGTTTCGGGGAAGCCTTTACAGCAGCTCTTTGATGTTTCTCCAGTGGAACTGAATTTATTTTTTGTACTTTTAGGAATTAACTTGCAGTGCTCAGCCTCTCCCTCCCCAGAAAGGAGAGAAGGAGAAAAGAAGAAAGGGTTTGCATTGTCACCGTGATTGGCACCGCCTGTGAATGAGGGGTCACTGCTTCAGGCTGCTCCTTTTCAAGCAGGCCTTTCTCCCCTGCACGCTGCATTCACGCTAGAACATTCTTTCTTTCAAAGCTTCTGTCTTTCTCTCCCCCGCCCTTTGTGTCTCTGCCTTCCTTCCCTTCACTTTTGCCTTTCATTCTGAGCCCTCACCACCTCCCTTAGGCTTCACTCTCTTTCCCTCTTTTTTCCCCTTTTTCTTCTTCTATTCAGTTCCTTTTTTTTTCCCCTCTTGCCTCTCTCTCTCCCTTTTAAATTTCTTTTTTCTTTTTCTTTTTGAATAGTGCTTCTGTTTTCAAGGGAAGAGACCAGTAGGGAAGTGGGTTTATTTGAGAGAGGGAGAATATGTTTTTTCTCCATTGCTCTAAATGTGTAAAACAACAACAACAAACAACAAAAACCTGTTGAAGACACTGTTTTCTTTTAGGCTCCTGCTTTAAAGAGGGAAGGGTGTTTGGGGGTCTCCACCAGCCGTAGGGACCTGTTCGTCACACAGGAGGAGTCCTGAGTGGGTCAGCAGGGATAGGTGACTGAAGGCGTGAGGTGGGACTGGCAGGATCTAGACATGGCCTTGGCATCCTTCCCTTCTGCCTGGCCCAATATGGGGCTCAAGATGAGGGTGAAGGCAGAGGCGGATGTGGTCCCACGGGCCTCCCCACTCTGGCGGAGCGTGGTGTCGCCATTCCCTGCCAAGGCGGGGCTAGGTGGCGTCCGTGTGAACATGACACAGGGGCTGAGTGTGAGGAAGGGGGCCGGTCCACACGACACAAGCTGGACCGACAGCTGAGCTGGATAACCCTCACCAAATAAGGGGCCCGCCACCTTGGGTTTGGCAGCCTGTGTTGACACATCCTTTGTGACAGGGACACATGTGTCCCACGCATCAGAGGGATTTCAAAATGTCACCTGGGAGCTATAGAGAATTTTCACTCAGGTTTTCCTAAATTATCCAAACAGAACAGTTTGGTTTTTTCCCTGTAGGCCTCTTTATTTTTCTTTAAACCTGTGGAAACGAACCTCCTCTGAGAGCCGACATATGCTTGTCAATCAGGCATGTGCGTGTGCCTGGTTAGCACATTTACTTTACCTGTTAAAGCAGTGGCTCCTCTCCTGTGTGCATGGGTCAGTGGATAGCACCGCAGCAAGGCCAGCACTTTCTACATCCCCAGGGGCCACCAGTCACTGTGGTCTGAGGAGTAAAGGTGGCCCTGCCTACTCTTGAGGTGTGTTTATACCTGTGTAGGCCAAACCCCCGCACTGTGTCACACCTCCACATTACAATCACTGCTCCCTCCCCCAGAGTGCCTTTCTTCTGTTAGTCTGCCTGCTGAACTCCTACACAACCTACAAAACCTTGCTCAGGTGTCACCTCCCCCTTTGACTCCCCCACATAAGACTTAATCACATCTCCCTTTATCCATCTCCTGGGAGTTGTATGTCATAGCTGTCAACTCACTAAGGTAATCATCCATTTACTGTGGCTGCTGGAGGGCGGAGACTGTTGTCTTCATCTCTCTAGCTCCTAGGAGAATGGTGTGCTGTCCATGTTTGCCAGGCAGAAAAGCCTTGCAAAACCTCAGTCACTCTACAGTGACCTCAGAGCTTGAGCCTGGTCAACTGGAACAGCAGAAAGAAGGAAGCTGGAAATGGCGGATGGCTTCAAGGACGTGAGCCATGGAGAGGTTAGACAGTGACGGCTGACAGGTTTGCCGTCTGGGAACTGTTGCGGACCTGGGTAAGGGTGCAGCTCTAGTGAGGTCAACACTGAGGTGAGCGCAGAAGCCATGAGAGATGGTTTCTCTGAGGGAGTCCACTCAGGCCAAGGCCTGAGCCCAGGGGCCGCTGGGATGCAGGAGGCCAGGGAGTGGTGGTGGTGCGTGGCCTGTGAGCTCAGAGAGGGTTGTGTGGCTGCTGCCAGATGAGGAGGAGGCCCAGCTCAAAGCTCCTGTGTTTGGCAAAGGGCTGCCACCTTCCAGAGGACAGCTGAGCTCTGGTGGAGGGGACAGATATCATAGAGTAGAGCTTGAGGAGGTGATGGAGGACATAGATCTGGCCCCAGTTTAGGGGGTGGAGAGAAAACAAGAAATCGGACATTGCCAGGGTTGCAGCGGGCTGTGGTGCATGAAAGCTTTGAGCTGGAGGCCAGAGAGGGAAGAGACGCGAGGTAGCAGGGGCCAGGTCTCTTCTGGAGGACCTACCGCATGTCTCGGCACATTTCTGCCCTGTAGAAGGGGCACGTCGGGCAGCGGGCCTGGAAGACCCTGGGTACCTCCTCAAAGCACAGAAAAAGGGACCTGGTCACACTCTGGGTCCCCCAGGGCCACAGAGAAAGCTTGTGGGGCTCCCGTCCAGCCAGGGTTCCCAGGGGCCCCAGGAAAAGGCATGGTCTCTGGGGGGACACAGGGCTCTCTGCAGAAGGAAGCTACCTCTGGGAGGGAGCCCTGAGATGTCAGTGGCCTGGGCTATGTGAGATGAGGGCTCCAGGCCCAGGTGTGCTGGCACAAGCCATCAGGCCTGGAGGTGTGGCCGGCAGGACCCTCCCAAGGCAGAACCCTGTGTGCCCTTCCTCCTGCGTACCCAGCTCAGTGCCCAGCCCATAGTAGGCGCTTCATGAATGTTTGCTGAAGTGTGAATTGCATGTTGTTAGCAGATGTAGAGTGGAAACAGTACAGCTCACAGCCAAGTGCTGTGTAAATTGTAAAGCCTTATGCAAAGGGGAGTCCTATCCCTGCCCCGCAGAGCCCAGGGCCTCAGGGAAGGGGCCATATCCTCCCCAAGAAGACTAGAGGAGGGTGGAGGAGGGCGGAGGGACGAGTCAGTGCCAGGTATGGAGGGCGGCAGGAGAAGGAAGGGCTAGTGACCAAGCCAGACACCCAGACGGGTGGGGACAATGAGCCCACTCATCAGTAGTGACCAGACCCAGGTAGAGGAAGAGTGTCAGTTGGATGTGGAAATGAGGGAGGTGGATCTGAAGCCCCGTGATATGGTGCTGAGCCCCTACTATGTGCAAGTTGGGTGCTAACACCCACTTCCCAGGAGGAGGGTCTGGGGCTCCAAAGGGGTTGGGGAAAAGGCTGTCCTCCCTCTGAGTCTGGGTGACCAAGACAAGATGAGCTGTGGTGTGGGTAAAGGTAGCAGGGAGTCTGCTTATCTAGGGACGTTTGGGATTTATGCTCCAGGAAAGGGATCAAGATGGCTTTGGGGCAGGCACCATAGAGATTTGAGCCTGGGCCCAGGGGAGGAGGCCACCATTGCTCTTCCTGGCCCCACCTGCTTCTCAGCATACTGCTGGCAACCCGGAAGCTGCCAGGGCAGGCCTGCAAGGCCATCAGGTTTTTCCAGTTTGGGCAAGAACGTCTCCTTACGCCCATGAAGATGCCCACGCACAGCCACGCTGGCCTAGAGATGAAAGAGGTTCTGGGGGTGGGTGGGGACAGGACGAGGGTCCGAGTTTGAGGCAGGCATGTTTCCAGGGCCCCAGTTTCCCAGGTGGCAGGGCACCTAGCAGTCGATTCTCCCCTAAGAACTGGCATCAAGGAGTCCAGCTCCTCCCGTAACTAACGTGTGGCCCAGGCGAGCTGCTGAGTGCTAATAATAGCAGCAAACACCACAAGCGTGCCAGGTTCTGCTTTCAGCACTTTACATATTTTAACTGGTGAGGCAGGTGCTCTTGGTACCACCCCACTTTAGTAAGGAGAAAGAGTCATGCCATTGGGAAGTAGCAGAGGATGCAAACTCAGGCCTTCAACTCTAGAGTCTGGATCTAAACCGGTGCTTCAAAACCTGGTGGGGTTTTTTAAAGTCCATTTCTACGCCTCACAGACTAATACTTTATCAACCTGGCTCAAATATCACAGCATTTTCACATTGCTATACAAGTTTCTTTTCTTTTTCTTTTTTCTTTTTTTTTTTTTGAGACAGAGTCTTGCTCTGTCGCCAGGCTGGGGTGTAGTGGTGCGATCTCAGCTCACCGCAACCTCCAACTCCCGGGTTCAAATGATTCTCCTGCCTCAGCCTCCGAGTAGCTGGGACTACAGGCATGCACCACCGCACCGGGCTGATTTTTGTATTTTTTCTAGTAGAGGCGGCATTTCACCATGTTGGCCAGGCTGGTCTTGAACTCCTGACCTCAAATGATCCACCCATTTCGGCCTCCCAAAATGCTGGGATTACAGGCATGAGCCACTGCACCCAGCCAAGTTTCTAAGGCTACGCTTATGTATTTGGAAGCAGTCCCAGAGCTCGAGGGTCGTGCTGTGAGGAGCAATGTTCTAAAGCTATTAACCGTTCTGTGCCTCAGTTTCCATATTTGTAAAACAGGGTGATGGCACCAGTACCAGCCATAGGCTGCAGTCAGGATTAAATGACACACTGTGCTGAAAGTTGGCCCAGGTTGGCACTGTCACTCTCAGGGCAGCCAGCCAGTCTGTGAACGTCGGTTTTGCCATTAGGAATAAGAGCCCACACAGGTGCTGCCCATTCAGATGCCAGTGCAGAACCTGGCAGGGAGCATCCCATGACTTCATGCCTGGGAAAGCTTTGTAAACTGCAGAGGGCTGTAGCTGTGTGAGCAGGCCTGCTCATTCTCTTGCCCAGCCTGTCTTTCTGAGTCCCAGGAGATCTTGTGTTTCCTTCTTCACTTTGGCACCCAGAGCTGGGGGCATTTGGAGGAGAGAACCCACGGGGTTCCCAGGGGCAGGCCCTGAGTGCTTCAGAGCCAGGACGAAGCCCTGGCATCAGCACAGGGAGGAGGGTGACTTGCTTCCTGGCTGTGCACATGTGAGTGCGTGTGGGCTTCACACAAGAAGCTTCTGGGCGTTTTGGTTTCAGGGGTCGGGGCCAGCACGGGGCAGGGTGGGGGTCCCATTCTTGGACCCAGCCCTTCCCTCTGACCCATCTGAGCTGCGTTTGTTTGCTGAGGAGTGGGTCATTCCAGCTGGCAGGAGTGTGATCCCAGAAAGAGATTATCTACACTCTGGTGAGGAGAGTTGGATCTTGTACTTCGTTTAGGAATGTGGTCTTCTGAGCTACCTGGATGAGTTGTAAAATTTCAGAAAAGAGGTAGCATCTGTGACGAGACTTCTAGAAGCCCACAGAAGATGCCTTCCCGCCTCTCCAGGGTCCTCCTCAGGTTCTGGGGCCCAAGGGACCCTCACAGCCCCACAGGCACTGGGGTTGAGATTGCCCATTTCCTGGCAACCCAGGGGCTCCCGTGTGGACCAAGGACTTGAGCTAGAACCTTCCGTGGGACCGGGTCCATTCCCAGCATCTCTGTCCTTCCTTACACTTGATCTCATTACTTTTTCCAAGTGTTCGTCCTCTCCCCACTCCTTCATGGGATTTAGATATTTTTAGTGATAGTGAGAACATGTCAAATGTTTAGGGGCCCTGGGTGACTCATATTGTATGTGTACATATATTGTGGTGTAAAGGCTTAAACTGACCATTTATCAGAAGCCAGCCCCCAGTTCCAGGCATATCCCATTGCATTACCTTATTGAATCTTCTCTACCATCCTGTGGGGAAGGCAGCTGTTATCCCCATTTTGCAGTTGAGAAAACAGAGGCCCTGAGAGATGAAGCAACTTGCCCAAAGCAGTACAGCGAGGAGGTGGCCAGGCCAATTCTAGAGCTTCCAATTGCTGAGGGGCCCCACCCTACCTCCATGGCCTGGCCGGAGGGGCCTCAACCCCACAGTCAGTCGCACCGCAGGCAGAGGGGACGGAAACCCTCACACCACTAGTCACAGCCAGCCATTCGCTTGTTTTATAATCATCCCCTCTACTAAAGTCACTTTCGCCCTTGGGTCACACACATGCATTTGAATTCCAGCATCTGGGACACATGGCCCAGAGCCTACCACCCTGCAGACAGGGCTTCCAAGCTCCTACAGGTCATCCTCTGTGATCCGGATTGAAGAGGAAACTAGTTCCTGCTCTGGGCTGAGCTGACCACGTTGGGTACCCTCCCCTGTGACATCCATGGTCCTGCCCTCGAGACCCTCTTCCGTCTCTCCTTCCCAGGCCCCACTGCCCTCTGGTTCTCCTCCCGCCTCTCCTCTACCCTGCAGCCAACAGGCTGCCTTGGCCTCCTCCTTTGTGAGCTCCTAGTAATGAGCAGACCCAGGAGCTCCTGGCTGGGATGCCCATCATGTGGCTCCCGCCTTCTCTGAACTTCTTATCTGAGGCGAGCATCTCCCTCCGCAGCTCAACTGCAGGGTCCAGTGTGGGTACCCAGGCTTCCACCCCTTGCATAGGTCCTACCCCTCAGCTCACTGCATGAAAGTATCATTGTTAGGTGACTGAGGAAGGCATGGCTTTGCGCGCTGCTCCTGCCTGCCTCTGATGATAGCCTGTGTGGACGGCCGCATGTGTCTGATGTCTGCGTGTGTACGCTATCAGCTGATACGTTGCACCAGCTGTCCCTCCCCCCAGGAGATACATGAAGGCATTACGTGAATGAGAGAGGCATTCTTTACTCCTCCTGGCATAAATCCGTACTCGAGCTGGGTGTGTGGGTGACTGCAAAATAAATGTTGATTACAGTAGTGGCTTCGGGAGGCAGCTGCTGCCAGGGGCTCTGCTGGCATGGAGGCCCAGGGAGGAGTCATAACACTGCCATGAGAACGGAGAGGGCTTGTGCCCAGGCCATACTCTTCACCTGCCCTCAGACCTCAGCACCTTCCCTACCTCCTGCGCTTCTGTCCGCTTTCCCTTCCCTTCTCCGTCCCATGCTTCCAGCCTGGGCAGGCCCTCCTCTCTGGCTGGGTCTATGGGGGAAGGGGTCTTCCTAATCAGCTTCTCCCTTCTCTAGGCCTCCCTGGACCCCTCCACCCAACCTTTGGGTAATAAACACCACAGATCATCCTCATTTGTCTAACGGGCTCAGTTAAACCCCCTAACAACTCCAGGAAGTGAGAACCATTATCTCATGCCACAGATGAGGAGACTGAGGCACACACAGACCAAGGTGTGAGTGGTGGGGCCAGACTGCAGTCTGACCCTGCGGCCCATGCCCTGAGTTTATTGCCTCCCAAAGTGTCCATTTATATGGAAGAACATTCCTGATACCTTAAGTTTGTTTTTTTTTTTTAAGCACATTTATTTACTGCTTATTTCCTATGTGATATTTTCCACTACTATTTTGTGGTTCTTAATCTTGTCTCTAGCCAAATTGTGAGGTCCTGAGACTGGGGATCTTTGTGCCTCACCAGCACCCAGCACCAGCCTGGCCGGATGATAGGAACAATAATAATAGCAATTGCACAGGCTGGGGCACCGTGGCTCACGCCTGTAATCCCAGCACTTTGGGAGGCCGAGGTGGGCGGATCACTTGAGGTCAGGAGTTGGAGACCAACCTGGCCAACATGGTGAAACCCCATCTCTACTAAAAATACAAAAATTAGCCGGGTGTGGTGACACATGCCTGTAGTCCCAGCTACTTGGGAGGCTGAGGCAGGAGAATCGCTTGAACCCGAGAGGCGGAGGTTGCAGTGAGCCAAGATCGTGCCGCTGCACTCCAGCCTGGGCGACACAGCCAGACTCCGTCTCAAAAAAAAAAAAAAAAAATTAGCGGTCACTCCCAGTAACTGGGTCCTTACTATGCATCAGCCCTTATGAAACACATCATTTCCCTTATCTCCTTTATCTTAAAAGCACAGGCAGACTAGGCGCAGTGGTTCACGCCTGCAATCCCAGCACTTTGGGAGGCTGAGGCGGGCGGATCGCCTGAGGTCAGGAGTTCAAGACCAGCCTGGCCAACATGGCAAAACCTGCCTCTACTAAAAATACAAAAATTAGCTGGGTGTGGTGGTGGGTGCCTGTAATCCCAATTATTTGGGAGGCTGAGGCAGGAGAATCGCTTGAACTGGGGAGGCAGAGGTTGCAGTGAGCTGAGATGGCGCCACTGCACTCCAGCCTTGGCGACAGAGTGAGACTTTGTCTCAAAATAATAATAATAATTAATTAATTAATAAAAGCAGAGGCATTTAGGTTAGACCCAACTCCACTTATTCTCTGGTGTACCTGGTAACCGTGGGTGAATCACTCAACTCCTGTGCCTTGGTTTCCTCCTCTGTAAATACGTTTTGTTGTCAAGATTCTGTGCTGTATAAAAATGATCTCAACAGGCACAACTCCAGGCTGAAAGGAAGGGCTCAGTGATTAGACCCTTCTCCTGTCACTATACAGACAAGGAAACCAAATCCCAGGGAGGTTGAGACACTTGCCTGAGGGTGTACAGCTCCTAAGTGGCAGAGCTGGGGGTGGAGGACAGGTCTGCTGGACTGAGAACCATGTATCCCTCCCTTCTACCACCTGCAGAGGAAGGGGCTGTCCTTCCCCATTTCCTCCCCACCTCTGCTGCTTCTCATCTCCCCCTCCTCGGACCTTGCTCCTGGGGCCCAGGAGGTGCTGAGCCAGCCTTTTAGTGGAGGACTACCAATACCATGGCCCCTCCCTGGCCTGATCCCTGGCGCAGCAACGCTTCTCACCTGCAGCCAGACACTCACACAGCTCGAGGGCTCCTGAAGACCTAGGGCCCCTTTCTTCATCCCCATGTGACTTTTTTTTGTCGCAGGGGACTTGATCCCATTTTCCACCAGTGCATCTCTTCTCTTGGTCACTTTGAGATGCTGGGGCCACAGCCATCATCGGTTTGCTTCATTTTCTGCAGTCAATCTCCATTCCCAGATCTTTGTTTCTCCTGTCATTTCTGATCACTCGAGATTAAAAACAGCAATGGAGAAGCCAGGAGGAGGCTGAGCTAAGGAGGACTCGGAGTGATGTGACCTCAGTCCTCCCAGGAACACAGGAAGAAGAGGAGTAAATGGGGAAGAATGTGATTATAATCAGCTCCAATCCTGCCTTTATCTCTTACTGGCTCTGTGACGTAGACAAATCACAGCTTCTCTAAGACTCAGTTTGCTCATCTGTAAAATGAAAATTAAAACGTCTATCTTGGGCCTGGTTCGGTGGCTCACGCCTGTAATCCCAGCACTTTGGGAGGCCGAGGTGGGCAGATCATCTGAGGTCAGGAGTTCGAGACCAGCCTGGCCAACATGGTGAAACCCCATTTCTACTAAAAATACAAAAAAACTAGCCAGGCGTGTTGGCGCATGCCTGTAATTCCAGCTACTTGGGAGGCTGAGGCAGGGGAATCGCTTGAACCGGGGAGGCGGAGGTTGCGGTGAGCTGAGATGGCGCCACTGCACCCCAGCCTGGGCGACAGAGAGAGACTCTGCCTCAAAAAATAATAATTATTAAAATAAAATAAAATAAAATGTCTATCTCCCTGGGACAGCCTGTCCCTTGTGCCTGGTCCATAATATGAGCTCAGTAAATGATGGCTGAAAAGAAATTAGAAAGAGGTGGCAACCTTTCATTCTGCCTTAAACTCGGGGCACAGACACATGGGTGGGAAAGCCCATGAATTTTGCTTTCTTTACTCAGAGGCAATTTAGAAACATAGAAGAGTGTATTTTGGGGAATTGGTGAATCTCACCATCCTGTTTGGAGTGAGGGAGCTGGGCACCCTGAGCATTTGCTGGGTGCCTCAGCCTGGGGCCAGGCCCTGTGTCTCATTCACACAAGGCAAGGTAGGGCCTGAAGAGGCAGCATGGGGTGGTGAATGGTTGGGTTTCCCTGGACAGCAGTGAATTCCTTTTTTTTTTTTTCTTTTGAGACACGGTCTCACTCTGTCACCCGGGCTGGAGTACAGTGGTGTGATCACGGCTCACTGCAACCTCGACCTCCCAGACTCAAGCCATCCTCCCACTCAGCCCCCCAAGTAGCTGGTACTACAGGCACGTGCCATCATGGCCTGTTAATATTTTGTAGAAATGGGGTTTCACAATGTTGCCCAGGGTGGTCTCGAACTCCTGAGCTCAAATGATCCTCCCTCCTTGGCCTCCCAAAGTGCTGGGATTATGGGTGTGAGCCCCTGCGCCAGTCAGCAGTGAATTCCTGCCTGGAGCTGGTCATGGGGGATTTCTGCACTGGCTTACCCCCTGCTCTAGGTCCTGCCCTTGCTTCATCCTGATGTGGGTGCCGGCTTCTCCCCTACCCTGACCTCAGAGAAGCAGGGCCAGGCTCTCTGGGATGCCTCCTCCCAGGGAGCCCCCCCAACACACACTTCCCACCCGTGTGTTTTCCTCCTCCCTTCCCTAGGTGAGGTCAATAGAGAAGCTTCCCTGTGGCAGGCAGGGGTCCGTTCTGGGGTTTGTCTCCTCCCTCCTGGCCACTGTGGGGAGTCTGACCCTTAGAGATGACCCGAGAGAGAGAAGGCCGGGACTGATCTGGAGAAGCCCTGGCTGATGGAATGGGGTTTCTTTTTCCCTCCTTTCTTCCTTCTTTTCTTTTTTATTTTTAAGCAAAAGATAAATAAATGTCACCCTGAGATGACAAGAGAACATTGAAGGAGATAAAAGGAGAGTAAAAGGGAGCGAGAGAGCAGAGGCAAAGGACAGAGGGGGATTTGGACTGTACACTGCGATGAGGGGAGAGATGAAAGAGGGAAGAAAGAGATGAGATGGGAAGGCAGGACCGAGTGGCAGAGCGGAGGATGGGGTTGCCACGGAAACCGAAGGAGGGGAGGAATGGAGGGAGAGGAAGATGGGATGGAGAAGGCGGAGGGCTTGGTGCAGGAGGGGTCTGAGGCGAGTCTTGGTGAGGAGGAAGGGAAGCCATGAGGGGCTCCCAGGTGTGAATTAGGCCCCGGTGTGGGAAAACAGGTTGGCAGGGGAGGAAGACAAGACCCAGAAAGCCCATCCCTGAGAGCTGAGGTGGAGAGGGCTGGGTCTCGGCCCTGGGCCCACCCAGCTGGGGCCTGCTCTATCCTGCCTGCAGGGGACTGCCTCAGTTTCCACGTCTGTATAATGGAAATGGTACCCCCCATCCCAGAGGACTGCCCCGATGGCTAGAAATGGTGTGCTTTCATCCCAGGCCCTGATGAAGTTCAAGCGCAGTGAATGGTCCTATTGTTACTTCCTTTGATTCTTATCTTTGTCCCCTTGAACTTGTGAGCTGAAGTTTTGTCTGCTTTTCCCGTTACACGAAGCTGGTGATCTCTGGGTCCAGGATAGTGTACTTGTTTGGGGGACAGATGTGCTTCTTTGCTTCTGGACTTGGAGGAAAGATATGGAGCCCTCTGGAAACATGAGGCCTGCTGCCCCTCCCCCTCGGAACAGGAACTGGCCATAAAGCTCAGGGAAAAGAGGCGGGCAGGGTCTATCTGGCTGCTGTCCAAAGCTGGTCTCGGCAAGGGGCCTCTTTTTTCTTTGCCCTTGAATATGGGTATTCTCGAAAGGGCAACAATTTATTCTATCTGTGTACTCTGCTAGGGATGCAGTGGTGAGCAAACAGGCAAGGTCTCTGCCCTTGGAGAATGTAATCTAACTGGGATGCCAGAATCTAACTGGGATGGTAGCTATTAGGCAAGTAATTCTATAAATAAATAAATCATTAACAAATCATTTAAAGTTACAATAAGGTCCAGGAAGGAAAAGTATGAAATTTGAGATTGCACAGGACCTGGGGTCTAGACCTGGTCAGGGTGGGGCAGGGGGTCCGGGCAAGCTTCCTGAGGAAGTGTTACCTGGGCTGAAAGCTGAAGGGAGAGGAATGAGGAAGAGCATTCCAGGTAGGGGAAAGCATGTGTGAAGAGGCCGTGTGCAGGTGAGGTCTATTAAAGAACATCGATGAAGTCCACGTGGCTTCACATGGAGGGAGGGGACAGCAGCACGTTGTGGACTTGTCATGGAGGCAGGGACCAACCAGACAAGTTCTGGAGGCCCTTGGTGAGATGTTTGGGCTTGATTGCAAGAGCAATGGGAGGTGACTGGGATGTGGAGCAGGTGGGATGTCGTGACCGATTGGTACAAGCATAAGGCTTGCTTCAGTCTTCTCTCTTTTGACTGACTATTAGCATGCTAGGGCAAGGGACAGCTGCGTGGCAGAACTCTTGAGAGCTCAAAACATTTCCTGCAGGTGGGTTGAATGGTGGAAATTCCTTGCCCCGTACAATCTCCTGTGCACACCTTCATGGTCCCCAGACGGTAGAAGGCAAACAGTCTGGTGGGAGAGCCTGAGCTGGGGGGTGACCCCCATGTTTGACATGGATAGAAGGAAACACAAGGAGTCAAGAGCTCCACAGGCACGGTGGCCCACGCCTGTAATCCCAGCACTTTGGGAGGCCGAGGCAGGTGGATCACCTGAGGTCAGGAGTTCAAGACCAGCCTGGGAAACATGGTGAAACCCCGTCTCTACTAAAAAAATACAAAAATTAGCCAGGCATAGTGGTGCACACCTGTAATCCTAGCTATCTGGGAGGCTGAGGCAGGAGAATCGCTTGAACCAGGAGGTGGAGGTTGCAGTGGGCCAAGATCACACCACTACATTCCAGCCTGGGCAACAGAGCAAGACTCCATCTTAAAAAAAAAAAAGGCCAGATGCAGTGGTTCACACCTGTAATCCCAGCACTTTGGGAGGCCGAGGCGGGTGGATCACCTGAGGTCGGAAGTTCAAGACCAGCCTGACCAACATGGAGAAACCCCGTCTCTACTAAAGATACAAAAAAAATTAGCCAGGCCGTGGTGGCGCATGCCTGTAATCCCAGCTACTCAGGAGGCTGAGGCAGGAGAATCAATTGAATCCAGAAGGCGGAGGTTGCGGTGAGCCGAGATCATACCATTGCACTCCAGCCTAGGCAACAAGAGCGAAACTCCGTCTCAAAAAAAAAAGAGCTCCAGATTAGTCCTGACTGAGGGGTAGGGGCCTTGGGGTCTTGGTTTCCATATCTGTAAAATGATGGCATTGGACAGGAGGGTCCCCAAAGTTCCTTTCAGCCCTGCCGGTGAAGATTCCAAGACCCACAGCCAAAGTGGCTGAAGCACAGGGTCTTCAGCAAGGCCACCATCCTGCCATGGGAGAGCCAAGCATCCCTCCCTTGCAGTAAAGAAGCACGCATGCGTTTACTGGGCATGTGAGCTGCGAGGTGGGAGGATCAGGCCCATGGCTTCTGGGATCCTGGTGTCTTCAGATCATAGGCGGCACATTACTCCTGTACTTAGCATCAAAGAGAAGCTACCATGTGCTTTTTATGCAGCTCTGCAGGCAGCTCAGCATTTGCCCACAGTAATTTGTGCAGCAGACGCCCTGTTAGTTTAGGCAGGCTCATTTCTATAAGAACCAGAGGCCCACCCAACTCACTTCAGGGCTAAGGGGGGTTGATTGCCAGCGAGGGTTCCCCAGGCTAGGGGCAGGGGCTGGGCACCATCCAGAATCCCGGTGCCTTCTGGGATCAGCATTCCCTTGGGCTCTCCTCAGACACCCACCCCGCCACCCCCACTTGCCCAAGCTCTCTGCCCCTTTGTGTTCTGGCCTCACTCTACCCCATGGCGCTCCTTTGTGTGTTCTTTGCACATCTGCTCCTGTGGCTGATGGACTGAGGCTTAATGCAGAGCCATGTTTCCAAGAGAGGAAACTTTGGCCCAAGTTCTTTCAGGGGATGGGGAGGGCCAGGCCATAGGTCTGGGCCCAGCTTCTGTATGAACTGCCCTAGATGGTGGGGGTATGCTATGCTTGGAGGCCCAGGGCTGGAAGTGGGGCAGCTGCCATTAGGCGAAGGTGAGGAAGAAGGCACCTGGGGTGGGGAGGGGCCTCCCACTTGATTCACCAGGCAAGGCCAGGTCACCGAGAGTATGCGTCAACTCTTGCTAATTAACTTCGAGGCCGGGCACGGTGGCTCACACCTATAATCCCAGCACTTCGGGAGGCCAAGCTGGGTGGATCACTTGAGCCCAGGAGTTTGAGACCAGCCTGGGTAACACGGTGAAACACCATGTCTACTAAAAAATCCAAAAATGAGCCAGGCGTGGTGGCGCGCTCCTGTAGTCCCAGCTACTCGGGTGGCTGAGGCACGAGAATCGCTTGAAGCCAGAAGGTGGAGGTTGCAGTGAGCTGAGATCATGCCACTGCACTCCAGCCTGGGTTACAGAGCAAGACTAAATAATAATAATAATAATAATAATAATAATAATAATTTGGAGAATCAGAATCACTTAAGAAGCCTCTAGAAAATCCCATGTCCAGGCCCTGAACCCAGAGATTCTGGTTTAACTGGTCTAGAGTGAGACCCCGGTATTGGCATTCTGATCAAACGATACCAGTTCTGGAACTCTGTGGACCCAGGGTCTCTGTCTTCACAAGAGTTTGTGTCTGAGAAGTCACATCAAAATAGTTCATGCCTCGACATGGGGGCTTCACCCCTCATATCCTTGGGTTTTAGGGTACTGTGACCTCTTAGAGGAGGGAGATCCTCACACAGGGGCCACCCTGTGGCAGTCAGACCCACCTCAGCCCTCAGCTTATAGAAGCAGAGGCGTGGCTCCCAGGTCAGGTGTAGGTGCACCCGGGCCTGGGGAATGGATCAAGAGAGCGAGGGTTGTCAGAGCAGGCCCTGTGGGAGGGGCTCTCTCACCTGGGAGGGCGTCAGGTGAGAAAGCACTCAGAGCTCCTGGGCCTGAGCTCCTGGGGACTCTGCCATTAGCAGGGGAAGGCAAGGAAGAAGGCACTTGGGGTGGGGAGGGCCCTCTGGCTTGATTCACCGGACAAGGTCAGGTCACTGAGAGTGTGCATCTGCTCTTGCTAACTAATTTGGAGAGGCCCTTCCCTATGCTGCCTGGACACCACCCCAAGGAGGAGGCAGGACTGTCCTGGGAGTGAGGTGCTCAGAGAAGAGCAAAGCCTTGGTAGAACTCTCAGGCAAGAGTTTCACTCTCCATCTCACTTACCGCATTCAGTCTTGGTCCCTTGGCGACTGTCAGTTTCCTTCTCTTCCCTTTTCTGTACGCTGGTGTCTTTCTCTAGAGACACTCCCGTGCTGGGCCCCCTCTGTTCCTCTGCAGTCACTGTCCTGTGGGTGGCCTGGCTGTCAGGGGAGATGATCCACAGTGTGATTATTGTATCAGTCAGGGTTCTAGAGTAAGAAATAGAACCAGTAGGAGACACTATATATTTATATATATATATATATACACACATATACACACACACGTACACAGAGAGGTCTCTTTTAAGGAATTGGCTCCTGTGATTGTGGGGGCTGGCAAGTCCAAAATCTGCAGGGCAGACCCGGGGGCTGGAAACTCAGCAAGATTCATAAGTTACAGTCTCAAGGCAGAATTCTTTCTCTGGGAAGCCTCAATGTTTGCCCTTAAGGCCTTCAACTGATTGATGCCCACCCACATTATGGAGGGTCATCTGCTTTTCTTAAAGTCAACCGATTGTAAATGTGAGTCACATCTACAGGATACCTTCATAGCAACATCTAGCTTAGCCAAGCACACAGCCGGGCACCATAGCTTAGCCAAGATGACGCATATGATTTACCACGACAGTGATGGTCTCAGGCTGAGAGAGGGTCCTCATCCTGTCCTCATGTACTTCAAGGGAAGCAGTGCTTGCACTAAATCCTCAAAGATGATGGGAAATTCACCCAGTTCGAGGGAAGGGCAGTCCTGGCAGGGGAATCAGCCTGTGCAGAGGCCCCAAGGTAGGAAACATCGGTGAGTTGGGGGCAGAGGGGCAGTGGAGCCTGCCTGGGAGCCATCTTGGGCAGCAAATGAAGGCATGGGCAGTGCATCCCGCCTACCAAAAGGCTGTGGGGGCTGCGGGGCCGGAGACCTGCATTCTAGCCCTTGCTCCCCCACCGTCTCACTGTGTGACCTTGGACCATTCCCTTCCCCTCCCTGGGCCTCAGTTTCCTCATCTGTTAACAGGGCCGGGTATGGTGCGCATCACGGGGGTTTGTGGGTTGGTGGCCCTGTGTCAGGGGCCCAGCCACTCTGACTCCCAGAGGTGGGGCTCAGTGAATCTGTCCACAGAGAAAGGGGAAGCAAGGCAGAGACAGGATCGCAGGAGGAAGAGACTCTCGAACTTCCCCTGCCCCTCCCCCGTGCCGGCGGCAGCTCCCTGGGCCTCTGGCTCCTGAGGCCTGTGGGCTGGGCAGAAGTGAGACTGTGGCAAGGGGCCCCGAGGCACAGGCCTTCCAGCTCTCGCTTCCTCTTCCCTTCTGCGCATGTGAGTAGAGTTTCCCTTGAAGCCTCCTGCGAGGAGGACAACAGGGGAAACCAAGAGGCTGGTTTCCTTAGGCGGTGAAATCCCGTGCATGTTTTTCACAGCGGGTGTACAGGCCTGGAACTTCCTCTTCTCCTCCCACCTGGTTACCTGTCCCGCCCACTCCAGCTTCAGCCTCTCCAGCCCCAGGGCCCTGGACTCCAAGGGGCAAAAGGCCCAGAGCCACATCCTGGAGGGCTTGAATGCCAGACCCAGGGTCAGGAGCCCCCTCCCCGCTCTTGCTCTGTTGGGTCCTGAACTGCCTCCACGGAAGCCAGTCCTCAGTCCCTGTCCCCACCCCACCCCACCCCCATACTGCAGCCCCCGCCTCCCAGAGATCCGGGTGCTTCATGTGGACTGAGCTTACGCAAGTCAACTCCCCAAGGGTGAGAACTTTAATTTGCCCCTTCTATCTACCCACAAGCAAGCACCTAATAGGTTTAGTAAATGTGCATTAAATCAGTGGCTCAAGCCTGGCACAGTGGCTTAGGCCTGTCATCCCAGCACTTTGGGAGGCCAAGGTGAGAAGATCGCTTGACCCCAGAAGTTCAAGACCAGCCTGGGCAACTTAGCAAGACTCCACCTCTACAAAAACAATGTAAAATTAGACAGGTGTGGTGGCACATGCCTTTAGTCCCACCTACTTGGGAGGCTGAGGCAGGAGGATTGCCTGAGCCCAGGAGTTTGAGGCTGCAGTGAGCTATGATGGCACCACTGCACTCCAGCCTGGACAATAGAGGAAGGCCCATCTCTTAAAAAAATAAAAAGTCAGGCCGGGCGCAGTAGCTCACGCCTGTAATCCCAGCACTCTGGGAGGACGAGGCAGGTGGATCACCTGAGGTCAGGAGTTCGAGACCAGCCTGGCCAACATGGTGAACACCTTGTCTCTATTAAAAATATAAAAAATTAGCCGAGCATGGTGGTGGGCGCCTGTAATCCCAGCTACTTTGGAGGCTGAGGCAGGAGAATTGCTTGAACCCAGGAGGCAGAGGTTGCAGTGATCCAGTATTGCTCCACCGCACTCCAGACTGAGCAACAGAGCAAGACACTGTCTCAAAAAATAAATAAATAAATAAAAAGTCAGAGGTTCAGCTGCAGGGCTGGAGACTGCAGTCTCTGAGCAACCTGGTGATTCAAGGCCAAGATGAGGAGCCAACAGGCAAGCCTGCCTTCCAGGATAAGTTCGAGGCACTGCTGAGGCTGTGTCAGGGAGTATGGGCTCACTGGACCTTCAGGAAATAGTCATCAAATTACATTGATCACGGGTGGTTGGTGATGTCCCAAGCCTGGCCTGGCAGAAGCCCCAGACCTCTGTCTATTGGTTGTTTTTGTTTGTTTGCTTGCTTGCTTTTTCTTTATTTCTATACTTTTTTTTGTTTTGTTTTTTGAGACAGGGTTTCACGCCTGTCACCCAGGCTAGAGTGCAGTGGCGTGATCTCAGCTCACTGCAACCTTCGCCTCCTGGGCTCAAGCGATTCTCCTGCCTCAGCCTCCCAAATATCTGGGGCTACAGGCATGCCACCACACTTAGCTAATTTTTGCATTTTTTTTTGCAGAGATGAGAGCTCATCACGTTACCCAGGCTGGTCACAAACTCCTGAGCTCAAGTGATCCGCCTGCCTCAGCCTCCCAAAGTGCTGAGATTACTGGTGTGAGCCTCCGCGCCCGCCCTTCAGTTGGTGTTTGAGATCTCCCTGGTGGTGGGAACTAGTCAAAGAGTGTCCAGGTGGCCACAAGGTCCTGTTGGTTCTTCCTTCAAAATGGCTCCTGTCGTGCGAGACCAGGTTTTGGGTGTCTTCACCCACTCTCTGCCCTGAGATCTGTGTCCCAAGGGACACCAGCCACCCTGATCCCACCCGACCCTCCTCTGCTCCTAGAGTGATGGGGTCCCCATGAGAGGAAAGGAGCACTGTTGTGAGCAGTGTGGGATGAGAGGAGGTGCTGTCACAGCTTGGGGAAGGGACCCTGGTAACCAGCAGGTAGGTCAATAGTTCCCGTTCCAAGTAGGCTCTTGTGCCCATTTTACAGATCAGGAAATGGAGACAGGTGGAGGAGCCAGGCGACTTGCCCAGCCTTTACAGGACCCATGGGGCAAAGCCGTAGGTGAAGTCACAGTTAGAGATTCCAGAGCTCTGAGGAGACGGCGTCCCTGCTTGGGTGGGGAAGGTCCCCTGCTGGCCCCCAGACGATGAGTCTTTGTTCCCTCCCCAGGGGCTGGCCTGGCCCTCAGGCCTGGGAGGTGGAGGTGCCGAGCCCTGGGAAATAGGGCAGTCCTGGGCTTCCGGTGTCACTGCACGCCCCTCCCCCTCCCGCCTTTGTTTCTTGGCCTCCACAGCCTCATTCTCTCTCCCTCCCCCTCACTCAGGCTCCTCCTCTGCCCCCCCTTCCCTGTCTCTTCATTTCTTCTCTCCCTCTCCCTTTCTCTCTCTCTCTCTCTGATATGTCCTCCCTTCCCCCACTCCCAGCACAACTACAATCAGGCAGCTCATCTGTGTCTATTTCCCCGCCTTTCACATTGACTTTCTCCCCACCCTGGGGACCGAGGGCATCCTGGTGGGAGGCCACGCCACATCCCAGCCAGTGGTCGCCCCTCATCTTGCCAGCCTGGGGCAGTCTGAGCTCCCCTTTCTCCTGGACATGGGGGGAGCTTTTGTTCTGAGTCCTTAGCACAAGTGGTGGGAGAGGCCCTGCTCTAAGAAGGGAGGGGCCCCAGTGGGGCCCCAGGCGGATGACAGAGGGGCCTTGGGTTGGGTGGGGAGGCAGCCCTGGCACACAGGTGACGCACACCTGGCAGGCTCTCTTCCTGCCCTGGATGGCCCTGTGCCAGGACATAAACAGAAGGGTTTAGCCTGGGAGATGGAACAGAGCGGGTGAGGAGACACGAGGCACAATGCTGGCCCAGGAGGAGGGAGAACAGAGTGATACCGGGCCTCCCCACTCCTCATTTCCGTGTGCGATAGGCAGGCAGAACACACATGCGAAACGCAGGTAAATTAGATTCCCTCCTCAGCAGAGCCCCTTCTGCATACACACACGCGCGCACGCGCACACACACACAGCCTGCCTGGCCGCCCCAGTGAACAAGACAACATGGACACGGGGCCTGCCCCCATAAGCCTCACAAAGAGAGCATTACAGGGTGGTGTGTGTTCTACTCAGCCAAGTCTCCAGGCCAGTGTAAAAGAAAGCGTGGGGCCAACTGCCCAGGTGGGCAGTGGCTCAATGAAGACTTCTAGTAGAAGGAGAGACCCCAGTTCCCCCAGCCGGCTGGGGCCCTGGACCAGCCAGCCAGGAAGCAGCCCGAGCCTTCATGTTGCAGTTTGCCCAGGTCGTGCCTACGTGCCCCTGCTGGCCTGTGGTGACCCAGGACAGCTCCTGAGAACTGAGGAGCCAGGCTCGGGTGTGACCTCCGCGGGTGCATAGCTGCAGGAGCACAGATGGGACCCAGCTGTGGGGCCACACGGGCCTGGCTGCAGACCCAACTCCCCCTTCATTGATGGGGCACTTGGGAGTGTGTTATTCAAGCCTGGATTTCCTGGGGCGTGAGGTGGGGAGCGCACTACCCCACCCCTGCCCCCCGGGTTGTTCCTAGTATTAAATGGCTGACTGGGGACCTCGTGAGTGTCTGTAATGAGAAGCTGTAGGTCTTCCGTGGTGTTTGTCGTCAGTTGTTGGCAGCTCTCTGTGCCCCTGCCCTGCCCCCACTTAGGCACAAACCCTCAGGAACAAGGACTCTGGGTTAGTCCCTTTCTACAGCCAAGCACAGGCTCCTGACACAGACGCACCTTCTCAAGTCCAAACTACCTGTTCATATGGGAAGGGGTTTGCTTCAGGTGTCCTGGTGTGACTATAAGGAGTGGCCCCTTGTAGAAAGGGGCCCGGTGTGGACGGTCAGCTCCATGGTTACCCTTGCTGTAGGGAACCACACTTCAGCTCCCACAGGCAGTTCGCTGGCTGACGTTTTTGCCCTCTCCTCACCTCTAAAGCAGTGTTAACTGTTTCCTTATGCCCGCGCCCTTGAGGTTGGCGGGAGGGGGCTGATTCCTGGTATTAGGCTGCAGGGGAAAGGAGAGGGAAGGGAACTAACGACACTGACATCCTCATCTCACTGTCCCATGAGTCAGGAGCCTCTTCCCCCCCATAGAGATGAGAATCACCTGATGTCACACGGCTAGTAGACGGCAGAGCCTGGATTGAACTCAGCATCCAGGGCCAAGGGGGAAGCACTGGCTTGGCCATTGATGCTCAGTTCCTCCTTCTTGCTGGTCCTGCCTTTGGGGAAGTTTACAAAAACTGCTGAACACATCATTTGCCCAAACCCCACAACAGACAGGAGGGTTGCCGCTGGGTGCTGTGTCAGACGGACTGTCGCGACAGGAGGCAGCCATGCTCCTCAGCGTGCTCTGCAAAACTGACAGTGGCTGGAGGGCACTGGGGGTGGCTGTGGTGGGCCCCAAGGGGCAGGACCCCTGCCTCATTCACCTTGCTGTCTCCAGGCACAAGCCCTAACCCATAGCAGGGATTTAGCGGCTATTTATTGTACAAATGAATGAATGAGTTCTCTAGTGGTTGTCCTCAGAATCACTTAAGCTTTGCTGAATTTGGGGCCCAAGAATGGAAACATCTCTTGGCTCTGTGGCTTTTTTCAGAAAAGCCTTCTCCCAGAGATCTGGGCAGATAATAATGGTTCTTTTTTTCTTCCTTTGAGACAGAGTCTCACTGTGACACCCAGGCTGGAATGCAATGGTGCGATCTCTGCTCACTGCAACTTCCGCCTCCTGGGTTCAAGTGATTCTCCTGCCTCAGACTCCCAAGCAGCTGGGATTACAGGCACCCACCACCACGCCCGGCTAATTTTTGTATTTTTAGTAGAGATGAGGTTTCACCATGTTGGCCAGGCTGGTCTCGAACTCCTGACCTCAAGTGATCTGCCCGCCTCAGCCTCACAAAGTGCTGGGATTACAGGTGTGAGCCACCATGCCCCTGCCAACAGTGATTCTTTACAGTTGGTTAGGGCCTTATAATGAACCAAGCTGCTTCACCTGTGTTAGGACCGTGGGCCCTCACAACCCTTCCATGGGTGAGTGTTTTCATCCCCGTTTTTCAGATAGGGAAACTGAGCCACTGGCATGACTTTGCTTAGTCACTTGCAAGTGACTGAGCTGGCACTCGAGGTCCTCGCTGACTGCATTTCCCAGCAGCTGGACATTGGGGTGGGGTGTGGTGGTTTGGAAGCACGTTTAGCCCCTGCGGCCTATTCCAGATGCACCCTGACCCCCCAGGCCGAGGTTTCCTTCTATCTGATCCCTTCCACGAGAGCCTCACTCTAAGCTTAATAGTTTAATCTTTGGTGTCCGTTTCAAGGAGGCTAAATTCCTGTCTGGGGTATTTTTAGCCGTCCTCAGGAAGGGGAAGCTCCGCTGGGCGCTGGGGGGAGGGGGACGCCTTGCCCGGAGCCGGTTTCCTGAGGAAGGGCCGCCGACCGTGTGCCTGACCGTGGCCCTGGGAGAGGCTGGTAGTTGGTCCGTTGGGAGCCCTGGGAGCAAAGCAGGCGAGAGTCGCCCCAGTAATGCCATCCCCTCTCCTCAGATGTGCCAGGTGTTGAACCAGGGCAAGGGGTATAGGCCCAGGAGGAGGTCGCCACTGCCTGGCGTGCTGCAGTCCTTGGAAGCCTGGAGAGGGCACGAGGGCAGGCCAGGAGAGCCGGGATGGCTCCAGGAGCAGGTGGACCTCGAGCCACGCCTCGGAGGCTGGTGGGAGGAGCAGGGGTCAGCAGGGTTGGGAAAAGGCTGCCCCAGGTGGGAAGACCCATGGGTGAAAAGACCGGGCTCCACAGACGGCTCACGGAGCAGGTGCCTCCATATGTGGCTGGAGCCCCCAGCGAGGGAAGAGGCCGCTGTGCTGGGGGTTTGTACCTGGGCACGTGGGCACATTGGCACTATTTAGAAGATCATGTTAGAGGCAGGTACAGTGGCTCATGTCTATAATCCTAGCATTTCGGGGGGCTGAGGCAGAAGGATCACTTCAGTGCTGGAGGTTGAGACAGGAGTGAGCCATGATTGTGTCACAGTAGCCTGGGCAACAGAGCAAGACCCCATCTCTAATCAAAAAGAAAGAAAAAAACGTTAGTTGAGAGATTGTGAATGTGAACTTGGGAGCCTGTTTGAGCATTCAATTCGGATAGTGGCCTCAAACATGTTAGCTGTCAAGGAGCTCTTCTTTCAAATCAGATCGGACATGGAACTCCAACGTATAAAATCAGATAAAAGTGATATTTTTATCAGTATAAATTTAGATATTTAAATGTATAACATTTAGCTAATCAAGAAAAACAACAACTGCTTGTGATAGATGCAGATGTTTATCGTCGGGGCTGACAAGTGACAGCCAGTGTTTGAGATTGGCCTCAGCACCTAGTTTATTTTTTTATATTGTGTTTCTGCCATACGTTCTCGTTCATACAGCCGAGCCATTACCAATAATGACAGTTAACACCTCACCGCACAGTCCCAAGGTCTGTGCAAATTAATTACTTTGGCAACAAAGCCAGTGGGGCTACAGTAGAATGTGTTAGAATGTGGCACATATTACATTTGAGTAGGTGGGCCTTTTAAAATCAGTTTTTAAATAGTGGAATCTTTATTTTTTGCATTTTTGAATCCGATTTTTAAGGATTTTTTTTTTTTTTTTTTTTTGAGACAGAGTGTCACTTTGCTGCCCAGGCTGGAGTGCAGTGGCGCGATCTCGGCTCACTGCAACCTCCGCCTCCCAGGTTCAAGTGATTCTCCTGCCTCAGCCTCCTATAGCTGGGATTACAGGTGCCGGCCACCACGCCCAGCTAATTTTGTATTTTTAGTAGAGACAGGATTTCACCATGTTGGCCAGGCTGGTCTCAAACTCCTGCTGACCTCAGGTGATCTGCCCATCTTGGCTTCCCAAAGTGCTGGGATTACAGATGTGAGCCACCATGCCCGGTCTTTTTAAGGAATTCTTGAAGGACCTGTAGAACACAATTTGAGAACAATTGAGGAAATCCCACCTCCCTGTTGTACAGATGGGAAGACTGAGGCCAGCAAGGGGGCAGAGCTTACCCCAGGATCTCCCAGGGAGATGGAGGAGATGGTCAGATACACAGCAGGAATCACTGCTCCCTATAATAACAAGTGTGCCCTGTTCCCAAGGCCAGGAGTAGAAAAGACATCAGAGCCAGACACACCCAAAATCAGCCAAGCCCTTGTCTGTGCTGTGTCTGTTGTCTGTCTGTGCAGGAGTGAGCCAGCAATATTAACCTTCCCTTCTCCACCCACAGCGATGCCCTCCTAGCTAGCCGTCACGGGATGGAGGGCTTCATGGACTCAGGGACACAGACGGACGCCGTGGTGGTGCTGTCCTTGGCTCAGGCCGCCGTGCTTGGCCTGGTCTCCGAAAATGAGCTCTTTGGAGCTACCATAAGCGCCGAGGCCTTCTACCCGGACCTGGGGCCCGAGCTTTCAGGGGCAGCCATGGGAGAGCCCGAGCCACCAGGCCCCGACGTCTACCAGCTGGCCTGCAACGGGAGGGCCTTGGAGGAGCCGGCGGAGGAGGAGGTGCTGGAGGTGGAGGCAGCCTGTGAGAAGCACACCCGGCGGAAGACGCGGCCACCTGTGCGGTTGGTGCCCAAGGTCAAGTTCGAGAAGGTGGAGGAGGAGGAACAGGAGGTCTATGAGGTTTCTGTGCCAGGTGACGACAAGGACGCAGGGCCAGCAGAAGCCCCCGCCGAGGCGGCCAGTGGCGGCTGCGACGCCCTGGTGCAGAGCAGCGCCGTCAAGATGATCGACCTCAGCGCCTTCAGCCGCAAGCCCCGGACGCTCCGGCATCTGCCCCGAACCCCGAGGCCGGAGCTGAACGTGGCCCCATATGACCCTCACTTCCCGGCCCCGGCCCGGGATGGCTTCCCCGAGCCCAGCATGGCGCTGCCTGGGCCAGAGGCCTTGCCCACAGAGTGTGGGTTCGAGCCACCCCACCTGGCCCCCCTGAGTGACCCCGAGGCCCCCAGCATGGAGTCCCCGGAGCCTGTCAAGCCGGAACAGGGCTTCGTGTGGCAGGAGGCCAGTGAGTTCGAGGCTGACACGGCGGGTTCGACCGTGGAACGCCACAAGAAGGCCCAGCTGGATCGGCTGGACATCAACGTGCAGATTGACGACTCCTATCTGGTGGAGGCGGGCGACCGCCAGAAGCGCTGGCAGTGCCGCATGTGCGAGAAGTCCTACACGTCCAAGTACAACCTGGTGACGCACATCCTGGGCCACAACGGCATCAAGCCACACTCGTGCCCACACTGCAGCAAGCTCTTCAAGCAGCCCAGCCACCTGCAGACGCACCTGCTGACGCACCAGGGCACCCGGCCCCACAAGTGCCAGGTATGCCACAAGGCCTTCACGCAGACCAGCCACCTCAAGCGCCACATGCTGCTGCACTCGGAGGTCAAGCCCTACAGCTGCCACTTCTGCGGCCGCGGCTTCGCCTACCCCAGCGAGCTCAAGGCCCACGAAGTGAAGCATGAGAGTGGCCGCTGCCATGTCTGCGTCGAGTGCGGCCTGGACTTCTCCACCCTGACCCAGCTCAAGCGCCACCTGGCCTCCCACCAGGGCCCCACCCTCTACCAGTGCCTCGAGTGTGACAAGTCCTTCCACTACCGCAGCCAGTTGCAGAACCACATGCTCAAGCACCAGAACGTGCGACCCTTCGTGTGCACTGAATGCGGCATGGAGTTCAGCCAGATTCACCACCTCAAGCAGCACTCCCTCACCCACAAGGTAAGGCCGTTCCCAGGGCCTGGGCATCTGCCTGCCCCTCCTGCCACTTTTTCATCCAGTACTTTCCAAAGTCCCAGATGGGACCATTTAGGTGGTCTCCTAGTTTTATCGTTACGTACTTATTTTGATGAGTATTAGAAATCAATTAGTATTAGAAACTAATTGAAATTAGTTTTTTAAGTAGTAAAGCTTTATGCATTCAAAAACATGTATTTGGCCAGGCACAATGGCTCATGCCTGTAATCCCAGCGCTTTGGGAGGCCAAGGCAGGCAGATTGCTTGAGTCCTGGGGTTTGAGACCAGCCTGGGCAAAATAATGAGACCCCATCGCTACAAAAAAATTTAAACATGGCTAGGCGTGATGGCTCATGCCTGTAATCCCAGCACTTTGCGAGGCCAAGGCGGGCAGATCACCTGAGGTCAGGAGTTCAAGACCAGCCTTGCCAATGTGGTGAAACCCTGTCTCTACTAAAAATACAAAAATTAGCTGGGTGTGGTGGTGGATGCCTGTAATCCCAGCTACTTGGGAGGCTGAGGCAAGAGAATTGCTTCAACCCGGGAGGCAGAGGTTGCAGTCAGCCGAGACCACACCATTGCACTCCAGCCTGGGCAACAGGAGCAAAACTCCATCTCAAAAAAAAAAAAAAAAAAAAAATTTAAACATTAGCCGGGTGTGGTGGCATACACCTATAGTCCCAGCTACTTGGAAGGCTAAGGTGGGAGGAACACCTGAGCCTGAGAGGCTGAGGTTGCAGTGAGCTGAAATCACGATACTGCACTTCAGCCTGGGCAACCAGACTGAGACCCTGTCTCCAAAAAAAAAAAATCATTTTTATAACCCCTGCAAGACCCAAGGAACACAGTTTGAGGATCACTGAAGTATCTTACCCTCCCTATTTTCTAGATGGGAGGACAGAGGCCAGAGAGAGGCCAGGATGCAACAGGGAGGCGTCCTGGCTCAGTGGTCAGAAGTACAGAGGGTGTCCTTTGTTCCTTGTCATTACAAAAGCAAATCAAAACCTGTGACTTCCCTTTAAGAACAGGCTAAATATATTTAATTTTCAAAGCAGAGAAGATGTAAGGAAAAATATTTGTTATGGAAAAGTACAGGTAGTTCTAGAATATGGCTAAACTAGGCACAGTGGCTCGGGAAGGCAGAAATTGAGCAGCACTTTCTAATCTACCATGTCCCTAAACCCAGCCTTGACCCGTACTCCCCTGCCCTCCATTCCCCGCCTTCAGCCACCAGCCTCCCCGCTTTTCAGCCAATATCACCTCCTCTGAGAGGCCCTCATATCCGGGTAGGTGGAATGAGGCCCCTTGGGTCCCACAATCCCACTCTGGTACTTGGCTGCCCCATGGTTTCCACCGAAATCCCACCAACTTTACCCTTCAAAGCTGAATGTACATAGAGCTTCCTCTCCCCATAACGGTGGCCTATGAGTGATACTCCAGGTCAAACTTGTGACCCTGTCTCTCACGGTAGACACTATAGGGAGTTGGGGAGCTGTTAATACCCTGCCAGGCCTAGAAACCAGCAATTTGTAGGTTTCATTGCAGAGGCTCCTGCAGTCAACTGCTAGTAGCTGCCTAAAATGTAATGTCAAGAAAGAGTCTAGCCAGGCATGGTGCTGCACACCTGTAGTCCCAGTTACTCAGGAGGCTGAGGTGGGAAGTTTGCTTGAACCCAGGAGTTTGAGGCTATGATTGCTCCTATTAATAGCCACTGCACTCTAGCCTGGGCAACATAGCAAGACATTTTTTTTTTTTTAAGAAAAAAAAAAAGGAAGAATTCTGGGCTGGATGCAATGGCTAACAGTAATCCCAACACTTTGGGAGGCTGAGGCAGGAGAATCACTTGAGCCCAGGAGTTTGAGACCAGCCTGGCTAACATAGTGAAACCCTGGCTCTACTAAAAATATTTTTTAAAAATAGCTGAGTGTGGTGGTGTGCACCTGTAGTCCCAGCTTGAACCCAGGAGGCAGAGATTCCAGTGAGCCGAGATCACACCACTGTGCTCCAGCCCAGGTGACAGAGCAAGACTCTATCTCAAAAAAAAGAAAAAAATCAAAAAATTAGCCAGGCATGGTGGCACACACCTGTGGTCCAGCTACACATGAGACTGAAGCAGGAGGATTGCTTGAGCCCAGGAGGTCAAGGCTGCAGTGAGCTGTGATTGCGCCACTGCACTCCAGTCTGGGCAACAGAGCAAGACTCTGTCTCCAAAAAGAGAAAAGGATTCTGAAACTGAATCTAGGCTTGGCAATAAAACCCTATGATGGATTGTTAATGTCTGCAAGGAGTGATTGTGCAGGGTGACAGCATATATGCTATATATTTGCCATCTTTCTCCTCTACTGGGGGACTTAAAAATCCCAAGTCCAGGGCCTGGCACAGTGGCTCACGCCTGTAATCCCAGCACTTTAGGAGGCCGAGGCGGGCAGATCACAAGGTCAGGAGTTCGAGGCCAACCTGGCCAACATGGTGAAGCCCCGTCTCTACTAAAAATACAAAAATTAGTTGGGCGTGGTGGTGGGCGCCTGTAGTCCCAGCTACTCGGGAGGCTGAGGCAGGAGAATTGCTTGAACCCGGGAGGCAGAGGTTGCAGTGAGCCAAGACCGTGCCGCTGTACTCTAGCCTGGGCAACAAAAGCAAGACTCTGTCTTAAAAAAAAAAAAAAAATCCCAAGTCCACAGAGTGTTAATACTGTGAAGAAAAGCTGAAAGCAAAAACCAAAGGCTAATAAAACTGGAAATGTCCCTATTATCAGCCTAAATTTGTACAATGTGCACATCATGTGTTTATAAAAGAAACTCCTGAATGGCAGGGCCCCCTGGTGGTCATACACATCTGCGATGTGTCAGGAGGGGGTATACAGCACAAGACACAGTCCCTGCTGCTAAGAGACATAGACACGGGAACCATTAAGTTATAATACAAAGTTTTTATACCAAACAAGCAGTTAAGACAGCAGCTGTGACCACAGACACATGTCCCACTGGGTTCCTACTAAATTACTAACTCATCAAAAAGAAAACAGCTCCCAACTTAAAAAAAATTTCTTTTATTTATTTATTTTTACTCTTTTTTTTTTTTTTTTTGAGACGGAGGCTTACTCTGTCACCCAAGCTGGAGTGCAGTGGTGTGATCTCAGCTCACTGCAACCTCCGCCTCCTGGGTTTAAGCAATTCTACTGCCTCAGCCTCCTGAGTAGCTGGGATTACAGGCGCATACCACGCTCAGCTAATTATTGTATTTTTAGTAGAGATAGGGTTTCACCATGTTGGCCAGCCTGGTCTCGAACTCCTGACCTTGTGATCTGCCCACCTTAGCCTCCCAAAGTGCTGGGATTACAGGCATGAGCCACCGTGCCCGGCCTTTTTCAAATTTTAGAGATAGGGTCTTGCTATGTTGTCCACACTAGTCTTGAGTTCCTGGCCTCAGGTGATCCTCTTGCCTCAGCCTCCCAAAATGCTGGGATTACAGGTGTGAGCCACCGTGCCCAGCCCAGCTCCCAGCTTTTATCCTAATTTTCCTCCATGGATAATAAATTGGACCCCTTTGCACACAACACCCTGTCCTGCTCTGGGAGTGACCTCCAAACCGTAGAAAAGAAAGTTCACAGTCCAAACCAGTGGGTTTTCTCCTGGAATCCATGTCTCCTGGGGGTGAATAGCCCAAAGTCCATCAATGATAAGAATCATCTGGGGGCCCTGTTGAGAATAAAAATTCCTGGGCCCATCCCAGGCCCCATGAATTAGACCCTCCAGGGAGCGGCCTGCAAGGCTGTATGTTGGATGAGAACTACAGGTGGCTGTTATCACCAGGGAAATTAGGAAAACACTTTCAAGAGATGAGTGGATAGGCTCTGGGAGTTTGAGACCCTTCGAAATTCTACATAGACCTAAGTGCCATTTTTGGGGGGGTGTCCATAGCTTCAATCATATTATCAAAAGGGTCTGAACCAAAAAGGCCACCAAGAGACAGCATGGAGGATAAAAACACATACACGTGTCCTTGATCTGATGAAATAGTCCACAGACAGCGGGCAGACCCTGTGTCTTCTTGGCGACAGACCCCTGCCGCCTAGTGTGGTACTGGCTTGGAGCAGGTGCCCGGTAAATGGTTGTTGAATGAATGAATGAATGAGCACACATTTGCCTTAGTGCACTAGTACAGACCTTATGTACACATCCACCCTGGGGGCAGGAGACAGCAGGTATCTGGATCGTTACAGTAAAGCACAGCCTATTTCTATTACTGAAAGGCTTCCTGGAGTAAGTGGCTCTGCCCCCACATTCTTCGGTGGTTTTAAACAAGTGTTACCTATTTTGGAATACCCTCAAAAAGAGACATTTCCCAGAAAGTGTGCCTTTGTGATGCTATGGCCCTGCCCCTACCCGGCTCCCCACAAAGGGTCACTGCCAGAGGCTGTGCCCATTGTGTGGCCCTGACCATCACCCCCCACCCCACAGGGCGTGAAGGAGTTCAAGTGCGAGGTGTGTGGCCGGGAGTTCACCCTACAGGCGAACATGAAGCGGCACATGCTGATCCACACCAGCGTCCGGCCCTACCAGTGCCACATCTGCTTCAAGACCTTTGTACAGAAGCAGACTCTCAAGACCCACATGATTGTACACTCGCCCGTGAAGCCATTCAAATGCAAGGTACCCGGTCATCAGGCCCCGGGGCTGGGACCTCCCCGAGGGTGGTCTGGAATCAGCATGCCTGCAGCAGCTGTGGCCCACCAAGCGCCAGCCTGGCCAGTGCGGGCAAGAGGAGCCCCGGCTGGGTGAAACTTAGCCTGGGCTTTGGGGGTTGGGAGGGCAGGCGGGGATTCACATCCTGAAAGCTGCTGAAGTTGGGTTTTTCTGAGAGCTGGGGAGGGAGTGAAGGTCATGGTGCAGCCACAGAGAAAGGACCCCAGCCTGAGGGCTTAGTGCAGCTAGAGATCCAAGCCCTGGGTTTCTGATAAGTGCAGCTCAGAGAAAGTGGGGCAGACTCACAGGAGCAGTGACCCCCAATGGATGGCTTGTGTCCCTGTCTCTCGGGTGTCTGGGGTCACATGGAAAAGCATAAAGAGAGAACTGTCCATAAAGAACAGGATTCTGGGCCAGGCATGGTGGTGCATGCCTGTAATCCCAGCATTTTGGGAGGCTGAGGTGGGTGGATCATTTGAGGTAAGGAGTTCGAGACCAGCCTAGCCAATGTGGTGAAACCCCTTCTCTACTAAACATACAAAAAATTAGCTGGGCGTGGTGGCACGTGCCTGTAGTCCCAGCTACTCGGGAGACTAAGGCAGGAGAATCTCTTGAACCCAGGAGGCAGAAGTTGCAGTGAGCCGAGATCATGCCACTGCACTCCAGCCTGGACAACAGAGTGAGAGTCTGTCTCAAAAAAAAAACAAAAAAAAAAAACAAAAGAATAGGATTCTGGCCCAGCCATAGAGGTGGGAGTGGGCTGGGGTCCGGGGAAAGCAGGTTCCCCACAGGCTCAGGACACCGGGTTGATGTGTTCTAGGTGTGCGGGAAGTCCTTCAACCGCATGTACAACCTGCTGGGCCACATGCACCTGCACGCCGGCAGCAAGCCCTTCAAGTGCCCCTACTGCTCCAGCAAGTTTAATCTCAAGGGCAACCTGAGCCGGCACATGAAGGTCAAGCATGGCGTCATGGACATCGGCCTGGACAGCCAAGGTGGGTGGGCCAAGCGCAATGGACAGAGCAGGAATGATACCAACATGACGCACTCAGGAGCCTCCTGCCCAGTTAGAGGAGTGGGGAGGCTGGCCAAGGCTGAGACTTCGTTGGGGTGGGCTCAGGTCTGGAAGGGGGGTACCCTGGAAGGCCATGATGACAATAACGATGGGATATTTATGTCTTCTTCAAAGGACTTAAATGAGATCACGTAAACAATATAATAAAAATCATAACTAACATTTATTGAGTGCTAACTGTGTGCCAGGCCTTTATTAACTCATGTGATCCTCAAAGCGAGGTTGGCTCTGTCATTGTCATCGTTTTACAGATGCAGAAACTGAAGAACAGAGAACTTAGATAGCTCATGCAAGATGACAACACAGCAGGAGGTGACAGACACTTTATTTCGTTACCGTGAGATAATATTTCAAATAAGTGTATGGGAAAGAAAGTTAGAAAGGGGAAAAAATGGCAGCCGGAAAGATAAGGGAGAGCCAGGTGAGGTCCCAACTCCAAGTACACCATGGGAGGTCCTAAGCAAGGGACATGCAGAGGGGAGATCTGAGCTTCCCAGCAACCAAGGCAAAAAAGTGTCAATCAGTCACACTCTTCACAAGTGCCTGCCAGAGACTATAACCCACATACTCATGAAAGGGCCAGACAGCCCTGACGTTAAGATCTGGGAGAAATTTTAGGAGAGGATCCTATGCCTCAGCAGTTCGTAGAAGTTTCAGAGGCTGTCAGAAAACATCCCAAGTGTTAGCGGTAGCCTTTCCCTCCAGCAGTGGTCAGTACTTAAAGCATTTCTGTTGGGTGACAGCAAAGCTGTTAGCCTCTCTGGCCTCATGGTGGGGAGGGACTGCTGTGGAGACTCCACAGGAAGGAGGGAGCCAACAGCGCTACAGGGAGGCTCCTTCTACAGTTGGGAGCTATTTCTGGTGCTCTGGCTGGGCATGATGGCTCACACCTATAATCCTGGCACTTTGGGAGGCCGAGGCAGGAGGATCCCTTAAGGCCAGGAGTTTGATACCAAACCAGGCAACATAGTGAGACCTGGTCTCTACAAAAATATTTTTAAATTAGCTGGGTGTGGTGGCGTGTGCCTATAATCTCAGCTACTTGGGAGTCTAAGGCAGGAAGATCACTTGAGCCCAGGAGTTCAAGGCTGTAGTGAACTGTGATCGGACCACGGCACTCCAGCCTGCGTGGCAAAGCAAGACCCTATCGCCAAATTATAATAAAGAAATTCTGGTGTGCCTCTGAGTCACACCAGCTGGGAACATGCTTTGGCAGTAACCAGGTGAGCTGACTTGCCACGTGGGATTATTTACTGGAATGCAGGCAGGCACGCGGGAACAGCTGCAGTAGCTTAACTCTGGTTTTGGAACAGCTGACCAGTGAATGGCCTGGGTTTTCTGGCAGAAACAGGTATCTCAGTTGTTTTGTTTTGTTTTTCAGTTGTCTATTAAGGTTGCTTCCAGTAGACGAGAATGAAACCCCGTCGGCTGCTCTTGGTAGCTCCTTGCTACTCAAAATGTGGTAGGAGGATGAGCAGCCTCGGCCCCACCTGGGATCTTGCTGGCCTCTCAGCTCCACCCACACCTGCTGAGTCAGACTCTACACTTCAAAAAGATCTCTGGGCCATTTGTTGCAGTCAAGTTTGAGACCCACTGGACCAGACTAGTGCCTCAGAGTCTCCTGGAGGGCTTGTTGAAACAAAGTGCTGGCCCCACCCCCAGAGTTTCTGATTCAGTAGATCTGGGGTGGGGTCTGAGACGCTGCCTTTCCCACAAGTTCCCAGTTCTTAGCAAAGCAGCCGCTGGTTCAGGGACCTCATGTTGAGAACCTTTGATCCAGACTGCAGAGGGCTGGCTGGCAAATCAGCTGCATGTTGGGAGTCACCTGAGGAATGTTTTAAATGCTGATGCCTGAGTTTGGACCTGAGGTTCAAATGTAAGTGATCTGGAATGTGGCCTGGGATCAGGATTTTTGTAAAGCACTTTGGGTGAGTCCATGTGCAGTAGATTTTGAGAGCTGTATTCTAGTGGATCTGCCCTGTTGCTAACCCACCAGAAGGAACCAGAGCAGAACGTGCCCTTTTGGAAATAACTGGGACCATGAAGAGACTGTCAGTGTTACAGCTCTTTTAGAATTTGTTAGGCTGGGCGTACTGGCTCACGCCTATAATCCCAACACTTTGGGAGGCAAATCCCAAGGTGGGCAGATCACCTGAGGTTGGGAGTTCGAGACCAGCCTGGCTAACATGATGAAACCCCGTCTCTACTAAAAATACAAAAATTAGCTGGGCGTGTTGGCACATGCGTGTAATCCCAGCTACTCGGGAGGCTGAGGCAGGAGAATCACTTGAACCTGGGAGGCAGAGGTTGCAGTGAGCCGAGATTGTGTCACTGCACTCCAGCCTGGGTGACAGAGTGAGACTTTGACTCAAAAAAAAAAAAAAAAAAGCATTCATTTAGCAGGTTTTCCAGTTTTTACCAGAAATCGCCCCACCCCCATCCCACCACCCAAACAAGATTTTTTAAAAAGACTGTCCCTGTACACCTTGTTCCTCGGGGTGGTTAAGGCACAACCTCTTTCTATATGAGCTCAGTCACCAGGGATGCTTAGAATTCCTCTATTCCTGGCCGTACCAGATGACAGAAGGAAGCGATTGGCCCTGGAATGACTGGGCTCCAGGTCCCCACCTCCCTCATACAGCCTTGGTCTGGGAAGCCCAGGCTTGATGCGTATGCAGAAGGAAGGCAGCATACATTCTAGACAGAACGATCTAGTAACTATGGGGCTGTCATTTGGGGAGGTGGATCAATGTCCTTATAAAAAATGCTACAGACTATTCTCTGGGGCCCACAGGACGGGACCATAGACTTAATAAACAAAATGGGGACGGTGTACAGAGATCCACAAGTAGAAATTTTCTCAAGGTGCTTTTTTTTTTTTTTTTTTTTTTGAGACGGAGTCTTGCTCTTTCACCCAGGCTGGAGTGCAGTGGCGCGATCTCGGCTCACTGCAAGCTCCACCTCCTGGGTTCACGCCATTCTCCTGCCTCAGCCTCCCAAGTAGCTGGGACTACAGGCGCCTGCCACCACGCCCGGCTAATTTTTTTGTATTTTTAGTAGAGACGGGGTTTCACGGTGTTAGCCAGGATGGTCTTGATCTCCTGACCTCATGATCTGCCTGCCTTGGCCTCCCAAAGTGCTGGGATTACAGGCATGAGCCACTGCGCCTGGCCCCCAAGGTGCTTTATTTAGCTTGTTTTTGAAACCAGCTGTGTAACATGAGGGTGTGGCACTAGGACTGAGGGAAGAAACAGCCCAAATCTATAAGATA